>NT_187555.1:0-175808 GCF_000001405.40 Homo sapiens | reverse complement strand
GAATTCACAAGGAAGGACAAACTTCGAAGAGACTAAGGTCTTTTTAAAGAATATTTGATTTGAAGCACAGGATGGCAAAGGAGTTGGCTGACTTTGTCAAACTGGAGTTGGTCTGGTGTTGCTCAGCAAACAGTAGGTCATCTTCTAGAGTACAGGTGGAAGAGCAGATCAACAACCAGTAATGTGGATGCAGTGAAAATCCGGGTGTCTGTGGAGCTGGAGGCTTTTAGAGCATGCAGTGGAGTGGAGGCTTGCCAAGGGAGCCCAGGGGGCAGCTGCATGCAGGCTGTGCAAAATTCTACCTTTCATTTCTAGAGACCGCAGAAAAGTTACCACCAAGCCAAGTCTGCAAGGTCATAGAGGGACTGCATTTTGCACCCACGATTGTTGAACATCCTTGCTATGTTTGTAAATTTTCCCTGCTTATAAATTTCTGTTCCCTGGAGAAGAGAAGCCAAAGAATATAGAGGATCTTTTCTAGCTACAGCTAAAGCTAATTTAAGTTCATCTGAGCTAGGCAACTTCAATCATAATCACTTGTGTAGTCCTAAATTCAGAAGAATGTGATTTGATGAAAAGGACTCCCTGTAGATTTCACTTTGCTGGTGTTTGTGGCAGAGGATGTTCAAATGTGGGGGATATTAATAGTTACAAAGTTGAGTTTCAGAAACAGAGGAGGAATTTTTGTTAAAAGAAGCAGTGATTGGAATAAATCCAAGTCCTGACAGCAGAATCAACTGTGTCATTTTTGGCTCCTCAGGCCCGTTCTATAGAATTACATTTACAGCCATTTTTTTGGCAGCTTAGTCTTGAAGTTGCTTCTCTAGTCTCTAAAACTGTCAGTGAATTGCCCAATGTTCTTTACATAGGATCGGCTTCTTTTGCTTATAACTAAAAACCCTGATCAAAACAAAAATGTGTTCTAGGAAACGCTGCCAACTAAAAAGCTTCACAGAAACTAAGCAATTCTGAAATTGGTTATGTGGCCTTGTTGAGGAAGATGGACATAAAATCTTTGGTATTATTAATAGATAGAACTCTTGCTAACTGATGAAAAGTCATGAGGGAATGTTCACATTTTCTTCTGTGATAAGAAGGTAGTCTTTAGGTAACCAGAGTCAGGTTTCTTGCAAGCCATTGTCAGTTCCTATCACCTCCACGCACCATAACAGTTTCCAAATATAAAACTAGAATAAGATGCTAGCGTATCCTAGGAATTTCTAACTCATGAGCTGGAAGAGGTTGCTCATTTATAATAGATGAAACCTGGAAAGAATTGTGGAAATGGGTTTTGAGGATGCTAAAACAAGAAAATCAAAATATATTTTAGAGGAGCTCTATTTTTTAAAACCTACATTTACCAGAAATTATGGATTGCTTATACAAGTTTTGTTGATGTTGTTACTCAGTGATACACCCTACAACCCTAAAAGAGTAGCTAATACTTAATCTGAACTCAATAGGTATATCTGAAAAAGCGTACTAGTTCTAGCAGCTATAAAATAGATGTGGTTATTTATCCTGTGAATTAGGTGCAGTGGGTACTACAGTGTTACATGCTCAATAAGGTTAGGTGCACGTAAGAGTCACCTGAAGTGCTATTTAAAACATACTGATTCCCAAATTTCCACCTCCAGAAATTCTACTTAAATTGTGAAGAAAAGCTCCAAAATTTTTATTTTGCAAAAGTTTCTCAGGTGATACAAAATAACAAATCTTAAGAATTATAAAGAAAATAATTTGGGAGCAGGTATATCATATGTGCCCGCTTACCTCTAACTGAATCAAGAGAGCCCAAAATATAGTCATTTCTCTAGGTGTTAGAAAGGATTAATAAGTGAAGTATGAGTGTTATAGAAAGTGCTAATTTTTATTATTTATAGGGCAAAGATGACCAGGGCTGCTGTTGCTGCAGTAGAAATTATTATCTTTTCAATGTAAATGATAGAAGTAAATGATGAAGTAAGCATGACTGCCTTAAAAGAGACAAATGGGAGTGGTGATCAAAATGCTGTGGCCTAAAGGAATCCCTAATGGTGATTAATTTATCTTGGGGTTGCTCAGACCAAAAGAGACGGTCAGCGCTTCAAGTCAAAACTTAACTTGCAAACTGAAAATTCTGCAGATCTAGTGAACAGAGATCTGAATTTAGCTATGAAGAGAGAACAGAGCCCCGTATACAGACATAGGGCCCCTTGAGGAAATTGGAGACTGGAAACACATAACCATAACACAAATATGAAACATGTTTTTTACTCCTTGCCTGGAATGCCTTATGCTAAGGCACGAATTATTTGTCCCACTGCCAAGAAGACAAAAGCCACATGTTAAGGATGATCCCACCCAAGGATCATGGAAGCTTGGAGCCTTGATAGCATTGTTGACTAACATGGAGCAATACTTTAGTTGTTAAAAGCACAGATTCTAGCATAGGGATGACTGAGTTCAATAACTGTGTCAATTGAATTATGATTTCAGCACCTATTCAATTCTACAAATTCTTAGATTTTTCTAAACTAAAACACCAATAGAACCTATCTTCTCTACCATCTGTTTCCACCTGAATATTATGATATAAGCTAATTGCCAAAGAAAGGTAAGTATCACAATTATCTTGGCTATCCATAAGACATTATTTTTGAAAACAGAATTGTTACTCCTGAAAAACTTGGAATCTTAAATAAAAGTAATACTATTCCATGGTAAGAAGCATATAACATAGGGGAAAAAAAGCCACCACATTTTGTACTACTTATAATGTATTGAATTTTTAAAAGCTATTTATCTGTGTCTCTGCTAAAATTACCTGCAAGATATAACTTCAAACTTGCATTATCAATCAAACTTATTCTCAGCAGTTAATGTGGTGAGGAAAAATAAGGTACTGCAATTTTTTAAGAAATTAAAATGCATGCCAAAATTCTAATAATCATTTAATTATTTAATAATAATTTCAACATTTCTTTAACTTTTGGACTATTATATCAACTTACGAAGGATAAGGTGGCTGTCCTAGGTCCTCCATTAGCCCACAGCTAACATTGGATTTACATCCTCTTAAATAGAAATTTTGTTTCTCCAATTCAGGTGCATAATATTGTTTATTAAAAATGTTATAGGTAATTTGACTTGGATAAATCTTATGGCTTTCCTTCTATTGCATACCTTAACAATTTCTCTACTGGCTGACTTAACATGAAAATCAGTCAATCATTTTCTTCATATTTAATTAATGTTCTGTTTCATGTTGTGTTAGCAGTTTTATTAACTAATTAGTTTCGTCATTACAGTTCTGAGAATTCTTACCCGGTCCAATGGTGTAATCTTAAAGTTATCAGAAACTTGTGTTTGTGAGTCCTTTCCGAGAATCTTCGTGAAGACAAAATATGTTGTTTATTGTTGCTCTGGAAAGTACCAGAGTAAAGAATTAACTGTTAATAAGACTTAAAATGGCCGTGGTTAAAGATGTGATAATACAATTGACAAGGAATTTCAGTTATTTCTCTTGTATACAATATTTTAAGATAGTAACTAGAATTATGACTAATATCATTATACAAGGAGTGCTAGATTCCTATGAATTTCATACAATGTGTAAAACACACATTAATAACATGTCCATAAAATATAACTTAAAGAAGGTTTAAAATTATGAATTTGCAATAATTTTTATATAATTAAATATATAAATCTCTCTTTCTATATAATGAGATATCCTTTTGAAATGTTCCAAAGACCCATCAGGAAAATTACAAAGCTAATTTGAGGTAAAGAAAAAGATTTAACTTAGAATTTGATTTGGGAAGCTTGTCAAAAATATCAAAGGTTTAAAACATTTTATCAAAATAGGATCACAGGTCACTGTGAACAATAGTTACTTATTTAACCAAATTCATAATTAAAAGACTTCAAAGGCAAATACAGAAAGTTACATAGTTGTAGAAAACCTTAACTGTTTCATAGACAGCACTCAGGTTTTTAAAATAGATTAAAACCCAACGAAGACAACACGAAGCCTAGAAAATTAACTTAATAAAACAGAGCATCTTTGTTTCCTAGACCAATTACCCAAAAGTTAAATAAAGACCTTTCACATTTTCCTACTAAAAGCAGACCAATACTTTATAAAAGCCTTATTGTTTGAATGGAGAGAACCAAATTCTACTTTCACATCAGTGTACTTTTATTAATAAGGCTTACTTTTTAGAAAAAAACAATTGTTTTCTAATGTTAGATGTTAGCCATCTTACACACATAAAATTTCTTTCATGAAATTTCTCTTCCACAAGCCTACAACTTTCTAATCAATTCAGTTTTGCCTTATATTTTTTCTCTTCTCATTTTAGGAAAAAAACATTTATTCTGCTTTAGGACAGAAATTTCTTTTTCTTTAAACAAAACAAAATATCCTCATACTTTACAGCTTTTCTTTACCAAAGAACATCTTATCTTTCTTGTATAGTTTCATATAGACGTTGTCCTTATTATTTCTAGTAATTTTAGTTACATATATTTCTTAAAATTCTTAAACTTAATGACTTTCATTTTCAGTGAACACTTGGCAGAAACCGTGAACTCTCTGTTACATCCATAATCTGTAGATTCATATATATATATATATCTTGCACTTGTAAGAAGCATGTACTCTCCCATAGTACAATTTGGCAATGTGGCATAGAACATGTTTATGAACAGTCTCTAATATCTTTAGTCTCACTGTAATAAGAAACTATAAAAGAGGCAAAATTGTATCACTACCTTCTTGTGTTTGTCTGTTTGTTCTTTGGCTAGAGCTAATAATTAAATTCTTGTTTGTACATATTTTCCTCAACCTCAATTTTTCATTATTGATTATAAATATGTTAAAATTTTCTGGTATAGAAAGTACATATTTTTCACGGAAATTTTATGTTACTAGTGTCTAACTCACTTATTTTTTTTTTTTTTTTTTTTTTTTTTTTGAGACGGAGTCTCGCTCTGTCGCCCAGGCCGGACTGCGGACTGCAGTGGCACAATCTCGGCTCACTGCAAGCTCCGCTTCCCGGGTTCACGCCATTCTCCTGCCTCAGCCTCCCCAGTAGCTGGGACTACAGGCGCCCGCCACCGCGCCCGGCTAATTTTTTGTATTTTTAGTAGAGACGGGGTTTCACCTTGTTAGCCAGGATGGTCTCGATCTCCTGACCTCATGATCCACCCGCCTCGTCCTCCCAAAGTGCTGGGATTACAGGCATGAGCCACCGCGCCCGGCCTAACTCACTTATTTTTAACAATTATGCCTTGATTACTTATAAAGAAAAGATGTTTAACCACTGGACATCATTTTGTTTTTCCTGTTGACAAATTTTGTAGTAAAAATATAATGTAGGCTTATTTTATCATTAAACTATAGTAGAAAGAAGGATACATCAGTATTATACCTAATACTGAAAACTTTGAAGACATGCCTGTTTTTAATCAAACCAAAAAATATTCTTATTTACCAAAGATCATTCAAGCCCTAATGTTGTAGTCTCAGCAATCCACCAAGATGTAACAGTCTCTTGTCTGAGATGATGCCCAGAGTTCTTTGTCCTACCTCCAAGAAAATTAGGGAGTGGAGACACAAAGGTGAGGTTAGAGCAAAAGTTTGATAAATGACAAAGAAAGCTCTCTGCCAGCAGAAAATGGGGCCCAAGCAAGGTGTCCCCTATGAGGCTGGGGTCCAGGGTTTTTATGAACTGTGAAGGGGAAGGAATGTGCTTAGTCTGAAGGCTGTCTTGAAGAATGTGTGACTCAGCTTGGCCCAGGATTCTGGCCCAGGACCAATCAGAAAGCTTGGCCTGGGACCAATCAGGAGCTGAAATGATGATTCACAGATGCTCCTTAACTTGGCCCAGGACCTATCAGAAACTTAAGTAAAAGCTTGGCATGGGACCTTGACCCAGGACCAATCGGGGCTGAAAGGATGATTCATAGAAGCCGGACTTACATTCCAAATAAAGGAAAGTAGAGTGCCTGCCAGAACCCACCAGAGCCTACCATGCCCATGCCCACAAAAAGAGAAAAAACTTTTTTGGGGGAACCTGTCACTATACAAAGAACAAAGGCATGTCTATGCTAGGCCTTGTCTCCTTATCTGAGTGAGCTGGACCTTTGTGCAAGTTTTTATCCAAATGGGCCGGAGTTTTTTCTATCTGTACAGCCAAAGGCATGTCTCGAGGAAGAACAAGCTATGATAGTTCCCTTATCAGTGCCTGAAGCTTGAATTTTTTCCCAGGCTGTTTTTTATTTTATGTGGGGATGAAGCACTGATCCATGGGCCGGGGGCTCCCTGGAGACCATTTCCTTGCTGTCTACCTAAGGCAAGCTAACTAACTCCTTTTAGTCCACCCTCAGGAGTGGAGACCCTAACTGCTGTTAGGGAGATTTTGTGTTGATCTTCCTGGCCATGTCTTCCTGGAAAGGGACATTTTGCAGGGAGCAGCAGCTAGGATTTCCCCTAGGCCTGATTTAGGGGTCCTTGGAAGAAAGGCATACATGCATGGTGTGGTCAAAATCTAGGATAAAGGTCAACCTTGACACCTCTCAAGTATTGTTCAATTAAATGTGTTATTTTTTTCTTTTTGAAAGAATCTTTGATGTGATAATCAGAGTAGGGAACAAAATTTAGTATCTAAATTTTATGTTAGTCTTCCAGTATTATGTATGTGCCACTATTATGTATGTGCCACTTGTTTATCAGTAAAGGAAATAATAATCAACAATTATAATAGTTAGAGCAATAGTAATAATAATCACGTGTTTTGTCCAGGTACCATGGCTCATGCCTGTAATCCCAGCACCTCAGGAGGTCAAGGGAGGCTGATCACCTGAAGACAGGAGTTTGAGACCAGCCTGGACAACATAGCAAAACCCTGTCTCTATTAAAAATACAAAAATTAGCCAGGAGTGGTGGGGCATGCCTATAGTCCCAGCTACTCGGAAGGCTGAGCTATAATCTGAGCCACTTGGGAGGCTGAGGCTGGAGAATCACTTGAACCTGGGAGGCAGATGTTTCAGGGAGTCAAGATCACACCACTGCACTCCAGCCTGGGTGACAGAGCAAGACTCCATCTCAAATAATAATAAATGATAATGTGTTTGGTATTGCTCTCGTTCTCATGTTTGGAGCAAGCCTGTGAAAAACTGAATTATTAATGTTGCCTCTTTATCTTCCATCCAAAATTCTTGTATCTAGCTACAAATTTGCCATACAAGAATTCTTGTGCTTTTCCATAGATATTACTTGACTTTGCCTTCAGTCATAATGCTTAATTTGACCTTTGTGGGCAGAAGTTAAGAGCTTACCAGTTTTGAAGCTAGGCCTTAGAAAACATTGTTATGTGTCAACTTGCTAACTTATGCCCTATTGTTGTCATAACAGGAATATGTCCCAGCTGGCTCACTGAACAAATAAACATAAAGACACATAATGTAGACTTCTTTCTCAGCTACATGTTGCAGCCAAGACCAGCAGAGCCTAGCCAAACACAGCCCGTATCTGCTCATGCCTACTGATCTGCAGACCTGTGAGAAGGATGATTGCTGTTTTAAGCCATTGACTTTGGGGATGATTTGTTATACAGCAGTAACTAGCTTGCTCTCTTTCCTCTCTTTTCTCAATCACTTTGTCTTTTCACTTCAGGATTAATATCAGAATAATTTCCTGTTATGGTCATCCTTGTGGCACTTACGATGCTTTGAATTCTGATAATCCAGTTCCACTAACAAATCAGGAAAAGAAAAAGTAGAATCTTATAGCTAAAATAAAAAACTTTCTTTTTCCACAGATAATGTGGTAATTTTCACAGGTCTTTTGGTAATTTTACTATCTGAGATTGCAAATGTTTAAGAAAGTCTCACAACCCTCTGTGTAACAAACGGGAGCAATTTAGAGGATATTAAAAGAAAACAAATGTTGTTGTTTGTGCATTGAGTGTATTATTGGATTTTGAATATTTTCAGCTCACTAGATTTTCAAATATTTTGCATTAGGGACAGAAAACAAATCTTTGAATTTCCTAAAGCTCAAAGAAGCTTCGATATTTTACATAACACTTCTATAAGATAGTCAAGAAGCTCCAGATAGCATTGTTCTATTCTTATTTTATTGATCAGAAAGGTAAGCACAAAACATGTTAAACAATTTTCCTAAACAAAGGAAGCAACCAGGGAATATGATTTCTTCAAAATTTCAGTTTCAATTCAATGTCCACTCTGTACTATTTCTGGTGAAGTTGAATAATACTGCTTTGTGCCTGTAGAACAGTCAAAACATTTTATAGGCCTTTATAAATCTTTTTACTTCCCTATGAGATTGAAAAATCAAAATGTTTTATATACAGCACAATGAATCACAGTGGTTGTACTACAGTTTCAAAATGCTTACACATCAAAACCATACCCATGAATTTCTATTAACTGTCAGCATTTGCAAAACAACAGCATTTCTGGCTAGGAAGGTTTCAGTATTTCATAAGAAAATCAACATTCAAACTTAATTCCTCATCTATGAATTTCTTTCCCTTTTTGTTACGAAGCTGCTGTACATATTTTGAAAGTTAAGCTATTGCATGTTTTTTAGAGCCTTATGAAGTTCTGTGATTTTAGAATCAAGTCAATACGTATTTTAAATAGCAAATGTATTTAAGTGTCACATAGTTTGAGTCCTCTACAGACATAAAATAGTCACATTCAATTTCTCAAAAAAATGAGGTAACTTTGGGTTGGGCATGGTGGCTCATGCCTGTAATCCCAGTAGTTTGGGAGGCTGAGGCGGGTGGATCATGAGGTCAAGAGTTCGAGACCAGCCTGGCCAATATAGTGAAACCCTGTCTCTACTAAAAAAATAACAAAAATTAGCTGGGTGTGGTGGCGCACGCCTGTGGTCCCAGCTACTTGGGAGGTTGAGGCAGGAGAATTGCTGGAACCTGGGAGGCAGAGGTTGCAGTGAGCCAAGATTGCACCACTGCACTCTAGCCTGGGCAACAGAGCGAGATTCTGTTAAAAAAAAAAAAAAAAAAAAAAAAAAAAAAAAAAAGATCACTTTAGTGTAAGCGTCACAAAAAAGAAAAAAATTACATACTTTGAATAAAATTAGGTCAACACATGATTGGTCATTATAAAAATGCCATAGTCCATTTCTCATAATTCACATAAAATATTGTGAAGTGTTAAATTTTTTGAAGTGTATCCTTCATTACCATTGTCCAAATTTATTATTGTTTCTTTATCAAAATGAAGCAAAATGTTAAGTGCAGTAAATACTGGCAATATTCACAACAAATGTACAAAACAGACCTAAGGGATACTTGAAGATTTTATTCCCGGTTTTTCTTACTTTAAATATATATTTTTTAAATGTTAGTAATCTCACAATGTATCCTACTAGAAAATCTGAGAGTGAGAGGCAGCAGATACCAGAGCAGATTTAAGAAAAGTGCACATCTCCAAATGTGCTGAAGTGGGGAATGGGTAAAGAAGCTAACACAACTTCCCAATTAAGAAATATCTGTAGCACCTAGGAAATGTAGAAGAGGATGAATTTGCATTGCCACAAATTAGGTGTAAAAAAGGTGGTTTTATACTGCCTGATGAATAACTTGGGTATATTAGAGGAGGAATTCAGGGTTATGCCTTTGCTTGACAGGTTATCTGAAAAGCAAGAGTGTTGAAAATTTTGTCAAGAGAGTTGAAGTAATAAGTTCTTATGTCTTGTTGGAAAATAATATGGAGCTAAGAGACTAATAGAAGAGAGAGGGTAAAAATAATTCTAGGCCCCCATGAATCAAGAAACAATGGTAAGAAGGGAATGAGAGATTCAGAGAACAAGAATCTTCACTTGGAACATGAAAGTTTAATATGTTGTAATAAAGATGTTTGGGTGAGGATGAGTCTAAGGTGTAGTAAAAGATGTAATCTTTTGATATGGAGCTGAAGGGAGAGCTATTAAATTTGAGCAAGAAAACACCATGAACATGCACATCAATAATTTAAAAACCACATTGGCTTTTTAATGTTAATTCAAGTACTTATGGCACCCTGCTGAAACCATATCTACCGTAAAATGTGGGATAAATATTGGGCAATTTGTGCCATATAAGAAATTGGTCTTAGCTTCTTTTATTACTTGGTTGAAATTTATGCTTTCTAACTGTGATACGCAAGTTTTCTTTTTAAAGTAGAGGCGCTTCGTGACCTGAATAATTGTATCATTACAACTTAACTTTATTTTTTCACATTTCTGTTTTTTAATTTCCTCTCTCTTCTTTTTACAAATATTATTCTTAGTTTTCTGCAACCAAATAACTTTTCTCCAAGCTTTCCCACCCTCGGGGAAGAGACTGCATCCTGACATCATCTATGGATAAGAACTTACTCTAATGGACTATTGTGCTCATAGAGCAAACATATTCTACATTGTGATGTAAAGTCAAGAATCTTAGTTAATAATTATTTATTAAGCTAACATTATGTGCTTTAAATAGGAGAGAAAGAGTACTAAGGAGTGAATGGTACTGGGTTATAGATAGAAAAAATGTATAATGGAATGACTAGACAGGCTACCCAGTAATCCATTATTTACAGCTACTATACACAAACATTATTATATTAATTCCTTAAGAAAATTTTACTCAGCACTTTTTAAAAGCCAAGCACTGTCCTATTGTTGGGGCTATAAAAGGGAGGAAGCCCTTAATCTTATGTTCAATGAGGTCTAGTTTATTAGGGAAATTCACAGATGATTTTACTACTATAATATTAAAATGTTAAAGGCTAAAGTGACATTTACTATTTTGTGCAATTACTATGATGCTACATAGAAAGAATACTTTAACAGTGGTTTGGGTGCTAGAAATGTCAACAAAGAGAAATATTTTTTAAGTAATCTCTGGAAAAATAAAGAGAATGTTTCTAGGGCAGACAGAGAGAAATAACCCAGCAAGAATGAATAACATCCCCCTTTATTACCCCAACAGAAACTCAATGTCAGATCCTATATATCTACTAGTTTTGGGCTATGTTATTCCACCATGAAATCTTTGTTAGATATTTTATATAATGATATGATATTATATTTTATTGTTAAATTATTATTTGATACAATATACTATATTAACTGATGTTATATATTTATTTTACATAATACATTTAATTTTTTATAACATTTATATTTTTTATATTTGTATGATTTATAGTGTTCTTATACTTATGACATATTCCTTTATGTGTTCCATGGTAAATTATTTAAAAAGTATATTGTGTATATAATATAGATGTTTTTATGTTTTCTATTTATGTATTCTAAATTATATTTTATATTTCTATGTATCATCATACATGTAACATACTTTGAAATATGAATGTAGAAAATATTTTATAAATGTAAAATATGTGATTATACATGCTTGTACATAAATCATGTATAAATAGGATCAGTATACAACTATTTAATGTTTTGAAATTTGTCTACTATTTTTTAAAATATTGTTTAATGGAATGGATCACAGTACCATAGTTTTACACCATAATGTTTGGCTATTATATGTCTAATCAAACCTCCGAAAATACAAACATAGAAAATAATTGCATAAATAAGGAGAAGGAGTTGAAAATGTATTTTAAAAATATATTTAAAATATTAAAATTGTTTGTACATTTTGGATAACAGTCCTTTATTAGGTATGTCTTTTCCAAATATTTTCTCCCAGTCTGTAGTTTATCTTCTCATTCCCTTGACAGTGCCTTTCTTTCACAGAGCAGAAGTTTTTAATATTAATGTTTACACATCAGTTCTTTCTTTCATAGATCATGCAATAGTGTTGTATCTAAAAAGTCATATCTGCTTTCTTCTCTGTTATCCTTTAGGAGATTTATAGTTCTGCATTTTATCTTTAGGTCTAATAACTTATTTTGAATTAATCTTTGTGAAGGATGTAAGGTCTGTGTATGCATTTTTGTTTTTCATGTGGATGCCCTGTTGTTCCAGTAGCATTTTTTGAAAGAACAATCTTTGCTTCATTGTCTGTTTTCCTTGCTTCTTTGTCAAAGATTAGCTAAATATTTTTGTGGATGCATTCTTGGGCTGTCTATTCTGTTTCAATGGCCTGCATATTTTTTTGACAATACCACATCTCTTGATTACTGCAGCTCTATAGTAAGTCTTAAAGTAGGGTAATGAATCCTTTTGATGGCAGCAGCAGGCTGCCTGGAACAGCCTACTGCCATCATGCCAGCTTCAACAAGGAGGCATGGCTGGGGCTGCATGCTCCATGGAGTCAGCGGGAGCCAGGGACAAGTGGAAGCTTCACCTCTTCTGATTTGGAGTGGGAGCTCCTCAGGTGCCACTGCAGCTGCCCAAGCCAGGCTGTGGACCAAGGCATCTCTGTGCCCTTGGGGGTCCAGGGGCAGGTGGAGCCCCACCCTCCCTGACACAGGTGCAGCTGCCCAAACCACAGCTGCAGACCCAGGCCTCCCTCTCCACAGAATGGGGGGGGCACCCTCCTGGGTGTAGCTATAGCCACCCAAATCATCCCTGCAGTCTTGGGTGCCCAGGAAGGCCCCTCTGCCTCCACAGGCTCAGAAGTGTCTGTTCCTATGGCCTGGTTTCTCCCTGCTGTCAGTGCCCACTCCAATTTTAGAGCAAAGTCAGGGCCAAGCCCAGGCGCTGTTACATCCTGCTGAGACACACACACACGTGGCGCAGTGCTGACACACCAGCCCCCTCCCACCTCAGTCCCCTCTAGATTTTGGGTACCAATGAGCATAGGAGGGAAACCAAGGGGGTACTAAGGGAAGTTCAGCACTGGGCTGCAGGTTCCCCTTGGCACCTACAGACTGGGCTCCATGAAAGGAAGCAGGAAGCAGACAAGTTCCTGGGGAGAAGGGAGCAGGTCCCTGGCGAGGCCTCAACTTCAGGCCAGAGAGGGCCTTAAGGCTGGTGTGTGGGCTGCTACTCCCATGGACCTGAGTGTGAACTTGTGGTGCCTTTTCTGGGCTTGCCTATGGCTGCCCATGGACCAATTGGTGTGCACTTCCTCCCCTCTGAGGCTCATAAAAGCCCCACGCTCAGCCAGAGCTGGGTAGATATTGGGATGACCAGCTGCAGAGAGGAGCTACCCACTCCAGGGCCTCCTCTCTGCTGAGAGCTGCAGAGACAACAGGGACAACCTGCCTGCAGAGAGGAGCCTCCCACTCCAGGATTTCCTCATGCCTAGGAGCTGAACACTCATCATAGGGATACCCTGGCTGCTGAAAGGAGCTGCCTCCTTCAGGAGACTGAGCTGTTCTATCTCTCAATAAATCTCTTTGTCTTGCTCACCCTTCACTTCTGTGCATACCTCATTCCTCCTGATCACAGGACAAGAATTTGGGACCTGTCGAATGGCAGAGCTAAAAGAGCTGTAACACAAACAGGGCAGAAACATGTCCCTTGCTTGCCATGTTTCAGGCAAGGAGAAGGGGAGAAGAGCTGAGGCCCTTCAGGGAGCACAGACCTAGAAACTCCCAAGGTCAGGGCTGTGACTCCCACTTTGGGGCCTTGTAGTCCCTTGCATCTCCAAGCTTCTGTGTGCCACTATGTTCCCCTGTGCCAGCCATGGAAGCTGCTTCCAGTGTGCCTGGTCCGTCTGCAGCTTCGCAGAGAGCTGGCGCCTATGTTGGCACCTGTAGCTGCCCACCAGCCTGCAGCAGCTGGCATGTCGGATTCACTCACACACCCCTCTTTGTTCCATACTTGACTCTCCCTTGGCAGGTGTGAGACTGAGGCCTCTAGGGTGAGCTGAGCATAGCTTGATAAGCTGAGTGGGCAAAACAAGCCTTGCAGATCCAAGGCAAAATGCAGCCAAAGGCGCCCCTGGCTTCAGAGGCACCTTTCTGGCCAGAAAAACTATACCCCAAGGATCATGTAACACTGTGACTTTATTCCTCTCTTTTAATATTATGTTGGCTACTCTGTATTTTTTTCCTTCCCATATAAATTTTGAATCCGTTTGTCAATGTACATTAAATAATTTGCTGGGTTTTAATTGAGATTTCATTGAAACTATAGCTCATTTTGGAAATAACTGACATTTTTAACCTTTAAAACTCAACTATAGGAAAATAAATAATAAGAAAAAGATCAAACCAATTACACTCAACAATAAGAAAATGAACAAGTTGAATAAAAAATGGGCAAAAGACATAAATGAAAACCTTACCAAAAATGGTATGTGGCAAATAAGCACATGAAAACATGCTCTACATCATATATCATTAAGGATTTGTAAATTAAAACAACAGTTATTAGAATCAGCAAAATCCAAAACACTGAAAATAGTAAATGCTGGAGAAGGATGTGGAGCAACAGGAGCTCTCATTCATTGCTGAAGGGAATGAAAAATAGCATAGCCATTTTGGAAGACAGTTTTTACCGTTTCTTAGAAAACTTGATTAAAAAACAACTGTAGTTTTGCCATTAAATTTCTTTGGATTTAGTTAATAGTTTCAGATTGAATATGAAACCTCTGTTTTTATGGGTACCATATTACAAAATGAAATTTAAACACATCTAGTTATACATAAAAATGATTAGTGATTAGGGAAGTCAATAAGGTACATAAAATATCTACATTTGTTCATCAGTCCTTTAATTGTGGAAAAATTTTCTGTGATATATAAAAGCAAAAAAGTGAATTTTATTGTTTTAATTGAAATAAACGTATTGGAAATGATGTTATCTCTTCAAATGTGTATCTTCCATTTTTATTCATATCCTCCATGGTTGTAATACCTTAATATTTATTTCCATTTTATTGTATGTATTTTTCACAAATCACCCTAAGTGAGCAGTGAATTAAGTAACATTATAGATGCAAGACCAAACAGATAAACTTGTTCATTTCTCAGGTTTCACTAATTTCAGTTTCATAATAACTCCACTGCTTGTCCATTAATCATAGCAATCTAGTCATAGATTTTCACTATATTTTAATAGATCATGTCTATTTTTTCCTTAATCTCAGTTCACTATCAATTTAAAGACAGCTATTGAACATCAATTCTGTGCCAGACAATTTGAAAAACATTGGGTTACAAAAATAAACTACATAGGTTGAGCCTAAATTATGCCACCTAAGCTAATAACATTGCTTATTTTTTGTTATTTTAAAATTTTATTTTGGGGATATTAAAACGAAAAATTAAACAAGTTATTTTTTCTTCAAATTGTTATTTATTTTCTTCCAATTTCCTGCAAATGTAAAAAAGGCAAACTCGCAGAGAAGCAGGTGCTATAAACAGGATATTACATATAGCTTTCATTGATTTACATTATCTGACAGAACTTCTAATTCGTTTCACAAGACACTGATTGAAAATGCAATTTTTTCCTTCAACATCAGATGTGTTCTTGTTGTTTTCATATATTTATAAGAGTAACAGATGATGGTGTTCTTCTAAACTTCCCGGCAAGCAAACAGCCAGGGACATTTAAAAAAGAAACAACTTTTATTTGTGTCAATTACCAATGTCACTCATTTCAGAATAAATTAGGCATGCTGTTATTAATAGGAAAGTATGTAACTGCTGATATTTTAAGCTGTGATACATATAAGTTATTACAAGAATGCCAAGAAATCATTTCTCATTGCAATAGGTATAATTTTACTGAAAGAAAGACCATTAATATAAATAAGGTCAAGATATGTTGCTGGTGGCTATTTTAATGCCATTTTAGAGTGCACTATTGTTGATAATAAAATATGTTAAATAATATTATAATTCTTAACAAATATTTTTGTTTTTAACACGAATATTTAATACTGATATAATTATTTTTTCAACTATATTGTTCCCTTTACAGTACAAAAGGATATAGCTTGTCATCTCCTGAACTCAAAGGAAATCACCTACACAAGAAAAGATGTTTATACAGGAGTGTGCTAAGTACCACAGTGACTGGGAGAATTTACCCTGAGCCTGTTATTTGAAGTAAGAAAATACCTTCTGAACCTGACCTGAATTAAGTCTTTTCTCATCGTTGTATTCTTTCTTTCTTGAAATTTAACATTTGTCCCAGTCAGTGGCTCACACTTGTAGTGCCAACACTGTGGGAAGCCAAGGTGGGATAATAGCTTGAGCCCTGGAGTTTGAGACTGGCCTGGGAAATAAAGTCGGACACCATCTCTACAAAAAAATAAAAAAATTGGCTGGGCCTAGTAGTGCATTACTGTGGTCCCAGCCACATGGAAGGCTGAGGCAGGAGGATCAATCGCCTGAGTCCAGAAGATTGAGGCTACAATAAGCTATGCTGCACCTGCAGGCTAGGTGACATTGCGAGACTCTGCCTCAAAAAAAAAAAAAAAAAAAAAAATTAAAAAATTAACATTGTTTCTAGTCTGCATCCACCACCACAAAACAGATTTCAAATTACAGTCTAGTATTATATGCCTATAGCCTATGTAAGTTATTTTATTCAAATCATTTTATAATACATTTAGAATATGATCTGTTAGTTTTATCTCCCTCTGTTTCATGACCAGTACCCACTCAAATTTCATTTTGAATTGTAATCCCCAGGTATGGAGGAAGAAACCTGGTAGGAAGTGACTGAATCATGGGGGCGGTTTCCACCATGCTGTTCTTGCGATAGTGAGTGAGTTCTCACGAGATCTGATGGTTTTATAACTATTTGACGGTTCCTCCTTCACACACACACACGCACGCACACGCGCGCCCACGCACACACACAAACACACGCTCTCCTACTGCCTTGAGAAGAAGGGGCCTGCTTCCCCTTCCACCATGATTTAAGTTTCCCGAGGCCTCCCCAGCCATGCGGAACTGTGAGTCAGTTAAATCTTTTTCCTTTATAAATTACCCAGTCTTGGGTTGTATCTTTATAGCAGTCTGAGAATGGAGTAATACGATGCCTCTAGCATTAAAATTTTTTTTAAAAAGTACACGGCCGGGTGCGGTGGCTTACGCCTGTAATCCCAGCACTTTGGGAGGCTGAGACAGGCGGATCACGAGGTCAGGAGTTAGAGACCAGCCTGACCAACATGGTGAAACCCAATCTCTACTAAAAAGACAAAATTAGCCGGGCAACATAGGGCATGCCTGTAATACCAGCTACTCAGGAGGCTGAGGCAAGACAAGTCGCTTGAATCCGGTAGGCGGATTTTGCAGTGAGCCTGGATTGCGCCATGCACTCCAGCCTGGGCAACAAGAGCAAAACTGCGTATCAAAATAATAAATAAATAAGTATACACAGAGTCTTTCATTGTACCCTCCCAAAAAACAAATAAGGAAACCAAAAAAATGTAAAAAGCTACATCAGAAGTAAAAGTAGCGTACTTTATCATGTCAGGTTACAAAATCAAAACGAGATGTTTTCCTCTAAACCCCTAACATCTAGCTTAAAAATATAAAATAAAATATTAGCCATAAGTAGAAAACATACCTAGGAATAAAATTAATAAAAAATAGATAAAATCCATTAGACATAATTTTAATGTCATCTGAAGGAAAAATGATCTAGGAAAAAAATTAATTGTGGAAAAAAAAAAGCTCTACCTCTTTCTCATGCCTAACATAAGTATGTATCCTACTGGATTAAAAAACTTAAATGTAAAAAAGAAACCAAAATTATGCTGGAAAATGCAAATATAAATATTTCAAAGTGGAGAGAGGGTTTCTAAGAAAACAAGATAAAATCTGTATAATCAAAGATTGGCAGAACGCATTGTAGGGAATATATCTTCATCAAAGTACTCATATACAATTTGATCTACTATGAATTCATAGAACAAGTAGATCTTATAGGAAAATACCATTCTTATAAACTTAGTATCAAGTTTTTAGACAGATGTTTTTCTCTGCTCTCTTCTGGAAAACATTAATTTATTCCTGGCTTATTCTTAAAAATGATAGTCCTTTGTGATCCAGCATTTTTTGGGAGCATTCTATTGGAACTTTTAGGAGAGATACTGAGCTTTGTCTTTCAGCGTGAGTGGTAGTGAGTGCAGAGCTCTTCTCCCTCTCTTGATTCTCACTTTCACTTCGTTTTTGTCATCTAATGAATTCTTGTATTGTTGCAAACTCATCCTTACATTTACAAAACTTTAAGCAAGGTTGTTGATCAGGGCATTTGTTCTGCCATACTGCAAGATAAAGACTTGGTATTTGTTCCCTTAAAAGCAGACAAACAAATAGTAAAAACCCTTATCGAGGAATGTAAAAAGTGAAATTACATCAGATATCAAAACTTTTTGCAGCATATATACAAAGCAGAAAGTTAAAGTACTTAATATTTAAGAGATCTTGCAAATCAATAACAGACTTTTTCATTCATTAGACATAAACATCAGCATGTAAAATTTTCTCTTCCAACTATTGTATTAGATTTTTAATTGGATATAGAGTATATTTAAGATTTAGAAAATTATATTACTCTAACTTTCTTTTTTATTGTGAACATTAAGAGAGATGATGACTATGGGTACATTTCTTGCAAGGTAGTATAATTATATAAGATATCTGTCCAACTTATCATCTAGTATTCTCAATAGTAAGCCCAAATTATCTGTTATATGTTATTCAGGTTTATGTAATTATGTAAGTTTATTTTTAATTTTAATTTAATTATCTCACCATGTTTATGTACAGATTATTTTCAATATTTTAAAAATATTTATCATGAGTTGCCTTTCCATGTTATTTAAATGTATTTTCTAATGGGATGTCATTGTTTTTAGTTCACATTCATTACAACCTGAAAATTTAAAGCTTATTGCTTCTTGTTATATTTAGTACAATCTTCCCCATAAATGGGACACTGTTATGCAATTGTTTTTAATGTAAAAATCCAGAATTATTATGAGGTTATACTTTATCTTGCATGACAGTGAGTGGAAGATTATATAACTTCCATTTGCTTTAAGAAGAACCCTGGCTAGCTGACACAGCTGTTACGATAATGGTAATTTGGTGCTGAATGAGAAAGACGCTATCCTGGGAGAGAATTTCCATAACTATTGCATCTAATATCAGAAAAGAAGTAATTTCCTCCCGTACTGCATCCAAAATATTCTGTGAGTTCAGGGACAAGAAAATGGCGTGTTTAAAATCTATATACCCACCATTAGCTTCTACCATTCCTTTGTTCATCTAATGCATTTTTGACATATTTCAATGACAAAAAAAATTGAAGAAATGTATAGAAATGCAAATCCATACCTTTCTAATTCCATCTATTAGAAATGATTTACATCCAATCACACACACACACATACACATACACACACACACACACACGCACACACGTAGTGTCATGGATACCTCAGAAAGTTTATTTGAGGATAGAATTAATTTTCTATAGATTTAGTTAAAGACCCTTTCAATAATAATATGGTTGGCTTATTGCCAAGTTTGTTTGGAAGAGTGTGAATGTACTACAGAGACATAATTATCTCTGTAGTTACCATTTATTAAAGAACAATTTAGAAGAATATAAATCAGCTACTGAATTGAAATTGTGGAAAGTGTTTGTAAGCTCCTTGGAATCTGGGACTACCTAGGTATATTCTCTTTTCTCTCTTTTTAATTAGTTTTACAGCATAAGTTCAGACAAGATTAACACTCACAAGAAAATAAAGATATGCATTAAGAAATATATATATATTATAGCAATACAATATGTTGAAATATAGTACAGAAACTTTTCTGTATTTTTGCTTTGGGTTGTAATTTTTGAAAATACATTTTTTTTAATATATAAAAAATGTATTGAAAGTTTGTTTCCCTCTGGTGTATTGTCCATGCAGTACTCTGTATATGAACTCAATCACTGGTTTCAGAGTAATCTCCCCACAAATACCATCTATGAGTTGGAAAAATACAAAACAGTTTTGAAAACACCACATAGTATTCTAAGGCAGTCAAGATTTGAAGGACAAAGATCTTGGAGATAAATGCTCACTGATGCAAGCCAAACTTCTCTGCAGCTTTTTTTCCAGAGAGTATTTGCTGGTTCACACAAGAGCAATAAGGACTTAGTAGAAAAAAGCATATATTATTTAATGCATTTCACTGAATTTAGAAGTGAAATATAAGGGAGTTTGGGTCTATAGAGGCAAAAATGATTTCGGAGAAAAGAATCCCAAAGAACAAAAGGACATTAAGAAGTAAACCCAACATTCTGCAGGAATTTCTCCTTGGGGCATATAGTAAATAATATGCTAAACATAAATGGACCAACTGCAGAGAAAGCAAGCAGAATACACCTGCTAACTAAAAATAACAAGTATAGATCTCAACATTCTTACAGTACAGAGAAGAAAACAATTTGAGTTCAAAGACTGCAAGTAGGAAGCAGCCCAGTAAACACTTCAGGGTTTCAAATGGATATCTCTGAGGTAATTGGAGATGACCTAGAAATAAAGGAAAAATTATTAATAGCCTCAAAGTATTTTTTTATTATCTTGCAGTCTTCTGCCAAAATAAATAAATAAATAAATAAATAATAAATACATCCTCTGTGATGGAAGACTACTTTATCCAGAGTGACTACAATTTGTCTTATACAAACTCATACATTTAACAACAAAATAATTTGCCATGTTTACCAGGAAGCAGAACATAGAAACAAATAATTAGAATTATATAAAAGTCAATAGAAAAAGATTTATAAGTAATAAAAATTATTAGAAAAAATATTAAAACAACTATGGCTAAGAGTTTTTAAAAAGGGGACAAACTTTTTTAAAATTCTATTTTAGGCCGGGCGCAGTGGCTCAGGCCTGTAATCCCAGCATTTTGGGAGGCCGAGGCGGGCGGATCACAAGGTCAGAAGATCGAGACCATCTTGGCTAACACGGTGAAACCCCGGCTCTACTAAAAATACAAAAATTAGCCGGGCGTGGCGGCGTGCACCTGTAGTCCCAGCTGCTGGGGAGGCTGAGGCAGGAGAATGGCGTGAACCCGGGAGGCAGAGCTTGCAGTGAGCCGAGATCCCGCCACTGCACTCCAGCCTGGGCGACAGAGCCAGACTCCATCTCACACAAAAAAAATAAAATAAAATAAAATAAAAAATAAAATTAAAAAAATTCTATTTTAGGATCCAGGGTAAATGTGCAGGTTTGTTATATAGGTAAAATGCGTGTCACGGGGGTTTGGCATACAGATTTTATTGTTACCCAGGTAATAAGCATAGTACCCAAGTTGGTAATTTTTCTATCCTCACCCTCTTCTGAATCTCCACTCTCAAGCAGGCCACGTTTTCTGTTGTTCCCTTCTTTGTGTTCATATGTACTCAGTATTTAGTTCCCACTTCTAAGTGAGAACATGCAGTATTTTGTTTTCTGTTCCTGTGTTAGTTCACTTAGGATAATGACCTCCAGTTCCATCCATGTTACTGCAAAGGGCATGATCTCATTATTTTTATGGCTCCATGTTATTCCAGGGTGTATATGAACCACTCTTTATTCAGTCCACCATTGATGGGCACTTAGGTTAATTCCATGTCTTTGTTATTGTGAATAATGCTGTGATGAACATACATTCACATAAGTTTTTATGACAGAATAATTTATATTCCTTTTGGTATATATCCAATAATGGAATTGTCAAAGCAAGTGGCAATTCTGCTTTGAGATCTTTGAGGAATTACCAAACTGCTTTCCACAGTGGTTGAACAAATTTACATTCTCACCAGCAGTATATAAGTGTTCCCTTTTCTCTGCACCCTTGTCACCATTTGTCATTTTTTGACTTTTTAGTGATAGCCATTCTGACTGATGTGGCATGGTATCTCACTGTGGTTTTGATTTGCATTTCTCTTTATTAGTGATGTTGAGCACTTTTTATATGCTTGTTGGAGGGCTGTATATATTCTTCTGAGAAGTGTCTGTTCATGTCCTTTGCCTGCTTTATAATTGGGTTTTTTGTTTTTTGCTTGTAGATATGTTAAAGTTCCAGATTCTAGATATTAGCCATTGTTGGGTGCATCTCTTACAAAAATTTTCTTTCATTCTGTAGGGTGTCTGTTTATTGATAGTTTCTTTTGCTGTGCAGAAGCTCTTTAGTTAAATTAGGTCCCATTAGTCAATTTTTTTTGTTGTAATTGCTTTTGGCATCTTCATCACGAAATCTTTGCCAGGGCCTATGTACAGAATGGCGCTTACTAGATTATCTTACAGAGTTTTTAGAGTTGTTTTAGCTTTTACACTTAAGTCTTGAATCCATCTTCAGTTGATTCTAAGGAATGGGTCCAGTTTCAGTCTTCTGTATATGGCTAGCCTATTATCCCTGCACCAGAACAGAATGGAGAACTCAGAAATAATGCCATACACTTACAACCATCTGATCTTCAACAAAATCGACAAAAATAAGCATTTGCTGTTCACAAAAAAAAAAAACACATATTTTAAAGCTGTGGAACATTTAACTTTCCTAGAAAAAGGATAAAAAATAGTGTTCTACTCAAATTTCAACCAAAAGAAAGTTGCTGATGCCATATAAAAACTATACTTTAAGAATAGAAATACTAGAAGAGATGAAGAGGGCTACTTCACAATTATAAATAATCCAATTTAACAGGAAAATGTAATCATCCTAAAAGTTAATTACCATGTGACATATTTGT
The DNA here is from genome assembly GCF_000001405.40 of Homo sapiens. Lineage (NCBI taxonomy): Eukaryota > Metazoa > Chordata > Mammalia > Primates > Hominidae > Homo > Homo sapiens. The sequence goes on along the minus strand of NT_187555.1, from coordinate 153,166 downwards.
AACATATGTGTAGCAAAACCTAAGTAATATTTATGTAACTAGCATAAAACATACACTACCACATATGTACCTAGTAACATTACCAAACTATTTGTATAGGTTGAGAAAACTAAAATAAAATATAGAAGAATTTACAATTACAGCTAGAGATTTTAACAAACCATGTAAGTAATAGCTGGAATACACACACACACACACACACACACACACACACACAAACTCACAGGCAGAATTGGTAAGTATATAAACATTTTGAACAATACAATTTGAATTTAACCAAACTGAAACCCAAACTGTGACAAATATTCATTTCAAATTAGCAAGGAGTTCTCACCAAAATTTACAGAATACCTAAGGGCACTAAACAGACTGAGAAATCTTAATTACAGACATAAAACATCTTTGATAAAAAAGAGATTGACAGATGGCTTGACACATGACTTAAAGCAGAGAGAAGGTACCATCCTCAGGGAGCCAAACTGGGCCCTACTTAAGGACTATTCCCCATTTCTTGAGATCTGGAGATATATGTGTGACTGAATTCCAGAGTTGTTGTGGACCAGTAACTGCTATATGCTCTCATTCCTCTCTGTTTTGAATGAGAGTGAATCCTGCTGTTATCTTGTCCCTGTTTCACACTTGTAGTTTGGGAATTCAGAGGTATTAGTTCATAGGTCTCAGTTAAGAGGGTTCCCTGAGAAGCTACAAATGAGTGGGACTTGATCTGCCTCATACACACTTGGGAGTGATTTAGATAACAGGATACTAAAACCTAAGCATGATTCTGATGTAGTAATGTGATTAGAATTTTGGAGTAGACAGTGAGTATATGGGCATATGGGAAAAATATAAATATTTGTGTCCAGGATGCAAGTGTTTTAGATTGAAAATTGCATATAGTATTAATTCAGAGGTGTGAGTGTTAATTTGAAAATATATATTGTAATACTAGAGCAACAATTAAAAAATTAAACATAGAGCCGTAGTTAAAAACGTCAATGAGAATAAAATAATTTTTTTAAAAAAACAACAAAAAATTTACACCAAAAATTCAGGACAAGAGAAAGACAAAAACAAACAACACATGACAAAATTTAAAAAAAAAATTGAAGAGATGGAATCAAGCCCACCATTATCAATAACTACATTAAAAATAAGTTGAATAAGGATATGAACAGACACTTTTCAAAAGAAGACATATATATGGCCAACAAGCATATGAAAAAGAAAGCTCAATATCATCAATCATTAGAGAAATGCAAAGCAAAACCGCAATGAGATATCATCACACACTAGTCTGAATGTCAATTACTGAAAAGTCAAAAAATAACAGATGCTGGCGAGGTTGCAGAAAAAGGGAACATTGTGGAAAGCAGTATGGCAATTCCTCAAAGAGCTAAATGCAGAACTACCATTCAACCCAGCAATCACATTACTGGGTATATACCCAGAGGAATATAAATCATCTACTATAAAGAAACATGCACATTAATTTTTATCGCAGCACTATTCACAACAGCAGAGACATACAATCAACCTAAACGCTCATCAATGACAGATTGGATAAAGAAAATGTGGTACATATATACCATGGAATACTGCAGCCATAAGGAAGAACACTATCATGTCTTTTGCGGGAACATGGATGGAGATGCAGGCTATTATCCTTAGCAAACTAACACAAGAACAGAAAATCAGATACTACATGTTCTCACTTACAAGTGCAAGCTAAGTGATGAGAACTCATGAAAACAAAAAAGGTAACAACAGACACTGGGGCCTACCTGAGGGTGGAGTGTGGGAGGAGGGAGAGGAGCAGAAAAATAAGTATTGGGTATTAGATTTAATACCTGGGTGATGAAATAATCTGTACAACAAACCCACGTTACATAAGTTTACCTATATAACAGATCTTCACATGTACTCCTGAACCTAAAATTAAACATTTTTCAATTAAAAAAGGCAGAGATTGTCAGATTAGATAAAAAAGCCGGAATCAAACACAGTGGTTTACAACAGATACCCTTCAAATATAAACTCATAGATAAGTTAAAAGTAAAAGGATGAAAAAGAGATTTTAAACAAACACTAACACAAACAAGCATAACGTAATATATTCAAATTTTTTAAAAATATAGATTGTTTAAGAAAAAAATTCTTAAACAGCAGACTACTAGAATTTTTTCCAATAAAAAGTTTCAATTTATCAGGAAACTATAAAATCTTAAATGCAATTACACCATAAAATGGAGCTTCAAAATTGACAGAACTAAAGAATAAAATAGACAAGTCCATAATTATGCTTAGTGATTTTAACATAACCTCTTTCTGTAATTAATAGAAAAAATAGACAGAAACTTGATAAGGATATGGAAGATTTAATCAACACTTTTAATCCAGTTAATGAAAATTCATAAAATATTTCAACTAACAACAGAATAGAAATTATTTATAATTTAACATCAAACAAAAACTTGGCCACTTCATAGAAAAAGAAACAAGAGTGGCTATGATCATATGAAAAGATTCTAAATATCTTTAGTCATCAGAAACATGCAAATTAAAAACTACCACACACCCATTAGAATTGTTAAAATTAAAAATTGTACAAGCAAGTATTCATAATGAGGTGGAGCAATTGGGACTCTCATGTCTTGCTGACAAGAGTGTAAAATGGTACAATTGCTTTGATAATTATTTGGAAATTTCTTATAAAATTAAACATACAGTAAGTCCTCACTTAACATTGTTGGTAGGTTTTGTAACTTTAAGCAAAATGATGTAGAGCAGGTCCTCGAATGATGTAAACTCCTTGTTTCCTTATAACATTGATGAGAAGAAAAATTGTCTTTGTTTTGAGTTTTGCTTAAAGTTGCAGTTTTCAAGAATCTCCTGATGATCTTAAGTGAGGACTTACTGTACACATATGCTATGGTCCAACAATTCTATTCCTAAGTATTTACCAAGATAAACAAAACAAAATTTAAAAAAACTACCCATATCCACAAAGCACTAGTTTAGAAATATTCATAGCAACTTTATAAATGATAGCACTAAAATATAAACAACTCAAATGTTTATCAATTTTAACCAGAAATATTTCCCTTTCCTCCCACAAAAAAAATAGTATGTCATAGCAGCCTTATACAATATTGCTATATATGTGTTGTATTGCTATACATATATATGTACATATTGCTATGTAAATATATGTACGCATATAGCAATATATGCATATGTGCCCATATAGCAATATAAATATATATACACATATAGCAATATGTGTATATGAACATATTGTATATATTGCATATACACATATAGCAATATGTGTATATGAACATATTGTATATATTGCATATACACATGTTGCCATATGCATATATATTTATATAGCAATATATGCACATATGCAGGGAATAAACAAAATTTTTTACATTCAAACAAAGGAATACCAGTCATCAACATAAGGACAGAATACATGTGCGCACACACACACACACACACATACACATCTCATGAAGTAATCTCACAGACATTGTATGGAGGGAATAAAAAAAGTTTACAATAACATCATGTTCAGTATGATTCTACTTCTAAGTAAAGGCAAAAGCTATCTAGGATTCTTAAAAAATCAGAAAATGGTTTCCTGGTGTTGTGTGAATAGGAGGTGGCATATAGACTAGAAAGGTACTTGAGGGAAGTTTCTGGGTAATGGAAGCTTATATCTTGATTTGTATGATGGTTTCAGGATACATATAGTCAAACTCATTGAAGTAGACACTTCAGATATTTGTGATTTTTATTATGTAATTTCTACCTCAAAATATTAATTTAAGAAAAATAAATCCCTCCACCTTCATTACATTCATCCTAAGATAACACTATTGAAATACATTATGGTTATGAGCACAAATGAAAAATTCTCAAATGATAGTCTATTGTGTTGCTTATATCAAATGAAGAAAAATGCAACCTACATAAATACAATAAATTCCAATCTCCATCTTCCCTCAGGAATGATTTCTAAGTAGTTATAATATTATGATAAATATTAGCATTTGTAGAAAAAAGCAATTAGAGAACCCACACTCATGCCTCTACGTAATAAATAAGATCATGGAAGTTCACATGATTAAGGTAAAATTGGTCTATTTGCATGAATATTTCTCGACTAGGACAGCTATCGATCACAAAAGTGATTTACACAGTTCATAAGTATAGTACACTAAACTTAAATTGAATGAATTCATTGTTCCCCCAATTCAACTTTTTTTAGTGGCATCACCTAAATTTTCATGTATACTCAAATGACAGTGATCAATTTTTATCATTTTACTGAGACTGAATGACTTTGAAAAACAACATTAATTCACAAATACATTGAGGAGAATAGTTTTGAGGATCAAGCAATGAAATCACAGATTGAAACGACAGTTTTAAAACACTTAAAGCTGGACATGGTGTATCATATCTGTAATCCCAGCACTTTGGAAGGCCAAGGTGAAAGGATCACTAGAGCCCAGGAGTTTGAGGTCAGCATGGGCAAAATAACAAGACCATGTTACTACTAAAACAATAGCAATTAAAAAAAAATTAGCCAGGCATAGTGGTGCCTGCCTATTGTCCCAGCTATTCATGAGGCTGAGGTGGGAGGATCACTTGAGCCCAGGAGTTTGAAGTACATATCACATTGGGAAATTATTATGAGTATTTTGAAAAAAATACAGTGTCAGAAAGTTTGGAAAGCTAAAAAAAGAAGAGAAAATGTTCAATCCAAAATTCTACAAACTTAACACAACATATACTAACTTTATGTGTATGTATTTGGTCTCTTCTAGTTGTTTTCAACGTGTGTTTTTCTTGAAATTAACAAAGAAAAATAGCATAGTCTCACATAAGTTTTATAATGATATTTCCTAATAGATTTTAAATTCCCCATTTTTGAGAATAGGCATGTGTAGAGACAGTGTGTATATGGGATATATCTGTATCTTCCTCTCACTCTTGCTGTGAACCTAAAGTTGCTCAAAAAAAAAGTCCTTAAAAATACCTCTGTTTTAAAAATACAATAATTTAATTGGTTATTAATGACCAATTAATGGCTAATAGTCATTAGCCTTTGCTAACTGAGTTACTGGGATCTTTATATTTTATTATTTGCAATGTTAAAATAATAGGTGTATTAAACAAATCACAAATATATTTCCTTATCTATTGTTTTCCTTTTAAATTTTTTTTTTTTAGAAATATGGTCTTACTAATGTTGACTATGCTGGTATGAAACTCCTGGGCTCAGCTTATATTTTTAATTTAAAAAGTATAACAATTTTTTTGTTTTGACACTTTTCCTTTTCAGCAATGCCCTGATCTTTAGACATTATATTTATCTCTCCTAAATAACTCAGAAATTGATACAATACCCCCCTCCAAAATAAATTATTTACAGGTTTAAAATAATCATTTCAGTTCCTGAAATGACTCCTGCTCTTTATTGACATATATACAGATATAGATTCATTTCAGGTATCTTTTAGGATCAACTTTTTTTTAAATAAACGTTTATTTAACTTCAAAATATTAACTCTAATTTATAGAGATTATTTTATTGTAAATCAAGAGGAGCATCTCTGAAGTAATTTTTCTTAATTGCTCAACAGTAATATCAATTCTATATTCTAAATAATTGTTACTTCCTGAATAATTGTTACTTTCTCCATTGACAAATAGTGCCTTTTTTTCTTTTTATTTTATGTTAGTTTTGAAATCAACTGTAGAGGTTATTTTTGGTTATTATGTTAAATTTCTTCATAAATTTAATTTCTTCTGATGTAATTCAAATATTACATCAGAAGTAACAAATGGCATTTCACCCACCATTTTTGTCAAAAGAAGGTCGCAAGATCAAGTGAGATGCCATTAACATAGAAATGGAAAATACTGCAAGAAGGTGAGACAGTGAACAATTGGGAAAAATATATATATATAGTTCATTACACCAACATTTAAGGCCATAGCCCAAATCCTGATTCTGTAACTACATGGCCTGTGAAAGCTAATTTAGCCTTTCTGAGTCTCAGCTTCCTTATTACAGTAATGAGCAGATAATCAACAAAAATCAATCAAACAATATGGAGACTATATTTAAGTGCTAAATTAAAGAGATAGTTGATTTTCCTTTTCTACATGTAGAAAACATCTACACTGATGATAATAAATACTTTTACTTATATGTTTAATTTTTTATTCTTTCAGTCTCATTTCCAAACCTTCTAAAACAATAGTAAAATTGATCTATACAAGGAGAACAGAAAGCAATTTAATCCTATCAATCAGAGACAAGATTCGGTCCTTTTTGAATTCTTTGTATTGCCCGTAAGATTCTTTCTTTTTCTTATAATTTTTTTGACATGGAACGGTAATTTGATTTAGGGCCTTTGTGCAATCTTTTTACATATGTTTAGTATTCATTTTACAAATATAAAATTCTTATAGCTAACAAATTTTTCATTCTGTGATTTATACTTATTTCTACTCAGTTCATTATTAGTGGAGATTGAGAGGAGTTGGTCACTCTCCTGAATGCAAGAATCTTTTGTTTTATTGAAGCTTTTCATTAGTCAGTTTCTTTAACATTATCTTGTAGCTCTTGTTTGACATTGTGAATAATCACTACCACTCTTCTCTGAACCTTATTTACATTTCCACGTATTTTTAAAGTTCTGAGGCAAAGAGAAGGAAAATACTCTAGTACTCATTTGCCTTAAACCATGTCTTGGAATTTAAATTTATTTGGTCATCATATAAATGTAAATCAATAAGTGGTAGAATTATTTTAAAATATGGAAAAATGAGTAAATAGAATATATTCATAACTAACAGTATAATCTTCTAGGTACAGCTTATTAATTGAAGATACAGGCAAATAGAAAAGAAGAGAAAAATCTATATGTAAAAAAGAAGACTGTTAGCCATCACCATGATTACATCTCCTTCCAAATATATCATCAAAAATATGTTTGTCCTGTTGGTTAGGGAGTATCATGATGACTTTTCTCTCATATCTTCCAATAATTCACAGACATACTAGAATATACAACTATTTTGACAATATGAGTAAATGGCTTCCTTTCCACTCTTGTTTTACTTCATTGTTATTTACCTTTTCTGAATGGCAATTTTGAAAAGGGATTAAAAACACAAGCTTCAAATATCAATTTGTCAGCATCCAAATTCTATAATCTTTAAATATTTTACATTTGACAATTATTTTTTCTGTGAAAAATAGGGATAATAGTAATATTTTTCTCAGAAAGCTAAAAGCAATAAATAAGCTAATTATTAGACACAGTATTTAGCATTGTGTCATAGAGAGGAAAGATTTAATAAATGTTACCTATGATTATCTAATGAACTCTATGAGAATTATCAAAATAAAGAAGTACCTGTTTCTTTTATACCTTCCATATTTCTTAAATCAGGGCTCTTCTTAAAGTAAATATATGTTGTCAGAATCAAATTTTTCCAGATCCTAAGGAATCTTAACTTCAGGGCCCTATACTTGCATTCCAGATAGGCTGCTTGTAGTTTGTATTTGTTTTTCATGGCAATTGGCATTGAGAGGCTGTGATAATTTTATATTTTCAATTTTATACATTTTTTTAATTAAATAAATAATCCTCCTACGAAAAGTAAAAAGAGCCAGGAATACGAAATCCTGAACCCAGAATGCCTGGTAAATTGTTCATATTATTTATACTTGCTGATGAATTAATGTGGATGTTAGTTTTAAAATGTTTCAAATGTTTCACTGTAAGTAACGTTATTTAACATTTATGAAAGAATTATTTGTATTCATTTATAATCATTTTTCCATTAATTCATATTATAGAATTGGAGTAAATGAAAATTTTATATCTACACTGAGTAAAAAAAAATTTCTGAATATGCATAGATATGAAAATGCAGTACTGTTTTCTACCATTCATTTAGGATCAGTATTTCTATGCCTAATATAACAATTGCTAAAAATATTTATAAATTGCTACCAAACCATAGTAGTTGTTTAACCAAGGAATAAACTCCAATTTTATAAACTTCAAAGGACTAAAATCTCCCTTGTGTCTTCCCTGAATCATTTACCCACTAGAGCATGGACATATTCCACTGTTGTATCAATATAACTAGCAGTGGAATAAAAGCAAAATGAATTACACCATTGATTTCAACTCAAATAATTCTTGAAAATGCTAATCAGTCATACCTAATCAAAATTTCATTTTCATAATTTTAGAAATGAATACTCCTTTTCATGTTGAGAAAATATATTTTATATTTACACTTCTATTTAAAAATCAGCAGTACTAAAAGCTCAGAAATGTATTATTATAAACACATAATTTTTCTTTTTGAATAGAAGACAATTATCTTCCCATCATTTCCTTACACTTACTTATGACAGAGTTATACAGTGGCATTTCCTGAATACATAGTGCTGGGAATACAATGCCACCTATTCATCTGTTTCTCATCCATAATATTTGTTCTGTTTGTGGTGATTTAAGTATTCTCTATGGCAATTTAGTTTTCTCTACCATGCTCTTCACTTTTTCTCAAAGTCCTTCCCTGAAGCGTTTTTAATGTCCATATTTCTGATAACAGTCTCTTAAAAATAATCTAGGCATTTTCTATCATGGGCTCCTCAAAAGTATTCCAGTTTCTTCCCACTGTTCAATTCCAAAGCCACTTACACATATTTTAGGTGTATGTCACAGCAGAACCTCACTCCTGGTACCAAATCTGTATATTCTCCTATTGCCATAACAAATTACTACTAATTAGTATTTAAAACAATGATTACTTGTTACGTAACCCTTTCTATGGGTCAGAAGTCCAGGCTGCTCACACTCAGATGGCTGCTCTGCCTTGATTACCCAGGGCCAAAATCAGTAGATCCATTGGGCTTATCCATTATCTGAAAGCTCTGAAGAAGAATATTCTTCCAGGCTCATTCCGGTTGTCGAAATTTCATTTCCTTGTCATACTTTGCATGTCGCATTCTGTCTCTTCAAGCCAGAAACAATAAGCATAATCCTTGTGCTTCGAATTTCTGACTTTTTTCTTCTCTTCTCCTCTTCTTATTTTTAAACAGCTTATAAAGAGGTTATACTTAAGGCAAGTCCTGAAGTTTGGGCAGTATAAACGCTAGAAAAAAAAATTTTGTGAAAAACTATCACTCTGTGCAAACTTCTTGGAAGGAAATACCCTGGATTTTTTGGGAGAAGCAGCATAAAATAAGGTTGGAATGACAGTCAGGGGCCAGATTATAAATAATTCCAAAGTACAGCAAATATATTTTGATTCTGATCACAAATAATATTGGAAATCATTTTAAGTTTTAAGTTGTGTGTGTGTGTGCCTGTGCTTATAGTATGTGTTGATTGTGAGAAGCACAATTAAATGTGTTGTTTTATATGAATCTCTAAGAATTCCTTTTATATTCTGTATTCAATACCTTTTCTAGTTTTTGTCAACAATCTAATCTTCTGGCTTTATTTTTTGTCAACTACCTTCTGTCTGTGTGTCTTTATGTTTCACCTTCTCAATAGTGTCTTTAATAAACAGAAATTCCTACTTTTAACTATTTTCTTTATGCTAGTGATTTTTGGTCCTGTTGGAAGATTTATTTTCTTGCCACAAATTTGTTAAGGTATTTCCTTGTGTTACCGTTATTTTGCTGCACATTTAGATCTTCAATTATCTAGAATTGATTCTTGTACTTAATGTAAACTGAGTCAAGTTTCATTGTTTTTAATACAAATGATACAGTATCACCTTTTGTAAAGTAGTAGTATTTTGAAAATGTTTGAAAATGTTTAGATTTAGAAAAATCTAAATCAAAAGATACAGTGGTCTCCAGTTGTTTTGTTTTGTTTTGTTTCTTGTAAAGTCTTTGTCTAGTTTTGGTATAAAGATAAGTTTGACTTCAAAAAATGAGATAAAAAATGTTCCCTCGTCTTCCATTTTTTCACAAGAGTTTGTGAAGGACTATTGTTAAATTTTCTTTAAATATTTGGTAAAATTCACCAGTGAAGCTACTGGGCTCTTTATTTAGGGATTTTTTTGTTATGATTTCATTCTTTTTGTTTACTATGTGTCTAAGCTTTATTATGTGATCTTGAATCTTCAGTCTTATTAGCACATGTCTTTCTGGAAATCTGTAGATTTCCTCTGGATTATCTAATTTGTTAGCATACAATTGTTCATGGTATACCCTTTTGATTTTACTTCTCTCCCTGTAATGTCAGAAGTGATTCTGATTCTTTCATTTCTAATTTTTCTAAGTTGTCATCTCTCTTATCTTACTTGATCAGTTTAGACAAAGTTATGTCAATTTTGTTGATCTTTCAAAGAATCAACTTTTGATTTGATTGATTCCTTTATTTTTTATTATCTATTTTATAATTTCCAAATTTGTCTTTAAAATTTCATTCCTTCTGCTTGCTTTGAATCTGTACTGCTCATGTGTCACCCAAAAAAGGTTTGCTAAATTTTGTCTTCCCTCTCAATGTGCTAGATTCAGTTTGCTTTTCAATTTTCTCATAATTGCTTTTTATATTTTATCCACAGCTGTAGTAATAATAGCAGGAAGTTAGGTTGTAGTGATTATACTTTACCTTGACTGACAACAGAAGTCCTCTGTGTTTTTAACTTAATCTGGATAAATATTATTATTAGTTCTCCTTAGGAGAGAAATTCCATGGTTTCTTTTTTCTTAGCTCAGGATATGGATAGATGTATGATTTTAAATAAGAAAGTCTCCGTTAAGCAGATATTTTTAAATCTATGTTTTAATGTAGTAGAAAATCACATATTTTAGTATTATAAATTCTGTGAGTGCTCTGTTATCTTTAGAGCTAGAGTTATTGATATTCATTGGTAGGATTCTTAAGGCCTACCCTTCTGAAATTTCAGGAACTATAGTTTTAAGTTTTAAAGGCCACTTAATTTAAGTTATCAATTTGAGAGTTACGTTTGAGAACAACTTACTGAAGAAAAGGAAGCTCTATAGTAGACATTTTATATTGGAAAGCAATGCTTATTATTTTATTAAAATATAAAAAATTCCAAGAGAATGGTTAACATAAAATAACATATAGCAGAAAATGTGCTAACGTTACAATTCCCACAGCCTATAATGAAAGAAAAACTTTTGGTTCCCATAGTTACTCTAATCTACTGAATGTCACATTCTTTTGTCCACTTTAGCTAAACTTTTATAAAAATTAAAGGTGTCAGAAGCTAAGAAACAGTAGGCTAAGATGAAAATAAGTATCAAATCTGAAGGATGATTATAGTCAACCATAAAGCATAGGAAAGCTGTGATCTGACTAATATCAGCAATTAGAGTAATTAAGCAATAGTTTTAGATTTTACTTTAGACACAAATACAAAGAATCATATTTTTACCACTACACACCAAAAAATGCAAAGTACAAAGTCAAACCACAAACAAGGCGAAACTATTTGCAACACATGTATCAGAAAATGTTACTATATATAAAACACATAAAAATCTTTTACATATAAATAGCTTGATAAAAAAGGGAGAAATTACTGAAATCAGCGAAATAAAAAATAAGCTATCCAGTTGTCTTCTGACCATGTCAAGAGATCATCAATGTCATTAGTTATTTGGGAAATGCAAATTAAAATAAAAATCAGATATAATACACATACACCAAAATAGTTAAAACTAAAAATACTGATAACAATAAGGGTTGGCAAGGATGTAGAACAACTGGAACCATAAAACCTCGTTAATAGGAATAAAAAGATACTCAAATTTGAGAATTTATTGGTAATTTCTAACACATTTAAATATACAGGCTGAGTATCCTTTATTCAAAGTTTCTTAGATTTCAGATTTTTTGTTATTTTGAAATATCTTGGAGATGGTACCCAGTCTGAACATAAAATTTATTTATGTTTTACATATACATTTTTACACATAGCAAAAATATAATTTTATACAATATTTTAAATAATTTTGTGCATGAAACAATGTGTGTGTACAGTGAACCACCAAAAAGCAAAAGGTGTTACTATATCATTCACCTAGTGGACAATCTGTGGTTGTTTGGTGTCATTCCTGACTCCAAATTTATATGTAACCCATAAGCAAACATTTTTTAAATTTTGACCAGTTTTTGTATTATTGTCTATGAAAAAGAAATCTCATCTCTACAAAAAAAAAAAATTACAAAAATTAGTTGGACATGGTGGTATGCAACTGTTGTCCCAGCTACTTGAGAGGCTGAGGTGGGAGAATTGCTTGAGCCTGGAAGGCAGAGGAGGTTGCAGTGAACCAAGACAATGCCACTGTGCTCCAGCCTGGATGATAGTGATAGCCTGTCTTAAAATAAAAAAAAAAAAAAAAATGAGAGACTCTTGTGCATTCTTCAATATGTCATTGCATTTTCCAACTCGAGAATTTCTGCTTGATTTTTTAAAATTATTTCAAATTCCTTGTCAAATTTACCTGATAGGATTTGAATTTCTTCTCTGTGTTACTTGAACTTCTTATAATTTCCTCAAAGTAGATATTTTGAATTCTCTGAATGGTCACATATCTCTTGTTTCTCTGGGATTGGCACCTGGTATCTTATTTAGTTCAATTGGTAAGGTTATGATTTCATGAATGGCATTGATACTTTTGGATGTTTGTTGGTGTCTGGGCATTTAAGAGTTAGGTATTCACAGACTTCGCAGTCTGAGTTTGTGCTCACACTTCTTAAGAATGCTTTATAGGTGTTTTATGGGACTTAAGTGCTGTAATCCAAGTTTTGACTACTGCATTCATATCTGCCTTGAGGGCAAGCCAATCCCAGTAATGCTGTAGTTCTTGCAGAATCATAGAGGTACCACCTTGGTTTCTTGGATAAAATCTAGAAGAATTACCTTGATTACTAGGCAAGGACTCTTGTTCTCCACTCTTTCTTTCAAACAGAGTCAGTCAGTTTCTCTGTCTCTCTATCTCTGTGCTGAGCTGCCTGGAACCAGGGGTGGGGTGACACAAGCGTCCTTGTGGCTGCTACCACTGGGACTGCACTGAGTCAGACCCAAAGCCAGCACAGTACTGTGTGTGCCTCACCCAAGGCCTGCTGTAACCACTACCTGGCTACTGCTGAAGGCCCCATAGCTATACAATCAGCATGTGGTAAAGCAAGCCAACCTATTTCCTTTCTTTCAGGTAAGCAAGTTCTCCAGGGCTCTGGGAATGTCCTTCTTTTGAAAAGTGGCTATTCATGTCCTTTGCCCACTTTCAGATGGGCTTGTTTGTTTTTTTGCTTGTAAATTTGTTTAATTTCCATTTAGTTTCTGGTCATATTTGACCTTTGTTGGATGCATAGCTTGCAAATATTTTTTCCCATCATCTGTAAGTTGTCTGTTTACTCTGTTAAGTAAAATTTGTTTCTTTTACTGTACAGATTTTTAGTTTAATTTGTTACAATTGCTTTTCACATCTTTATCATAACATCTTTGCCAGAGTATATGTCCAGAATGGTACTTATTAGATTATATTATAGAATTTTTATAGTTTTAAGTTTTCAGTTTAAGTCTTTATCATCAGTTGATTTTTTATATGACATAAAAAGGGGTCCAATTTCAGTCTTCTGCATATGGCTAGCCAATTATCAGAGCACCATTTATTGAATAGCGAGTCTTTTCCCCATTGCTTGTTTTGGTCAACTTTGTTGAAGATGAAATGGTTTTACGTATGTGGCACTATTTCTGATATCTCTGTTCTGTTCCATTGGTCTATGTGTCTGTTTTTGTGGAAGTATCATGCTGTTTCAGTCACTGTAGGCTTGTAGTATAGTTTGAGGTTGGGTAAGATGATGCCTCCAGCTTTGTTCTTTTTGCTTAGGATTGCCTTGGCTATTCGGATTTATTTTTGGTACTATTTGAATTGTAAAATCGGTTTTTGGAATTCTGTGAAAAATGTCATTGGTTTTTTGCAGTAGTTTCAGTAGGATGGTACCAGCTCTTCTTCATACATCTGGTATATTGTGGCTGTGAATCTGTCTAGTCCTGGGCTTTTTTTGGTTGGTAGGGTTTTTTTTTTTTATTTATTACTGATTCACTCTGGAACTTTTTATTCTTTTATCCAGGGATTCAATTTCTTCCTAGTTCATTCTGGGGAGGGTGTAGGTATCCAGGAATAATTCTGTTACTTCTGGATTTTCTAGTTTATGTGCATAGAGGAGTTTATAATAGCCCATAGGGATTTTTAAAAAAATTCTATGGTGTTATTGGTAATTCCACTTTGTCATTTCTAATTGTGTCTATATGGATCTTCTGGGGTTTTTTTTCTTTATTACTCTAGCTAGTGGTCTATCTTATTAACTTTTTTTAAAGAACCAGTTTGTGGATTATTTGATCTTTTGTATAGTTTTATGTCACAGTTTCCTTCAGTTCACTTCTGACTTTGGTTATTTCTTGTCTTCTGCTACTTTTGGGGGGTAATTTGCTCTCGTTTCTTTAGTATCTCTATTTGTGATATTAAGGTATTGATTTGAGATCTTCCTAACTTTTTGATTTGGGCATTTAGTGCTATAAAGTTCCCAGTTAACATTACCTTAGCTGTGTCCCAAGAGATTCTGGCATGTTGTATATTTGATTTCACTACATGCAACATTTCTGCTTTAATGTTCTTGAAATGGTTTGGCTGTGCCCCCACCCAAATCTTATCTTGAATTCTCAGCTTTTATGGGAGGGACTCGGTGGGAGGTAATTGAATCATGGGGGCAGGTTTTCCCATGCTGTTCTCATAATGGTGAATAAGTCTCAAGAGACCTGATGGTTCTATAAATGGAAGGTTCCCTGCACAAAATCTCTCTCTTTGCTTGCTGCCATCCACATAAGACATAACTTACTCTCCTTGCCTTCCACCATGATTGTGAGGCCTCCCCAACCACGTGGAACTGTAAGTCAATTAAACCTCTTTCTTTTGTAAATTGCTCATTCTCAGGTATGTTTTATCAGCAGTGTGAAAACAGACTAATACAGTTCTTATTTACCCAAAAGTCATTCAAGAGAAGGTTGTTTAATTTTGAAACAATGATATGGTTTTGAGCAATTTTCTTAGTATTGATTTCACTTTTATTGCACCATGGTCTGAGAATGTGGCTGATATAATTTGTTTGGTTTTTTTTGTTTTTTTAATTTGCTGAGGATTGTTGTGTGGCCAATTGTGTGGTCAATTTTAGAGTACGTGTCATGTGGTAGAGAGGATAATATATATTCTGTTGTTTTAGGGTATCTGTAGATTTTCATTTTGTCCATGTGGTCAAGTATTGAGTTCAGCTCATGAATTTTTTTTTTTTTTAATTTTTTTGCCTGATGATCTGTGTAATACTGTCAGTAGGGTGTTGAAATCTCCCACTATTTTTGTTTGGGAATCTAACTCTCTTCATAGGTCTTTCAGAAGTTTCTTTATAAATCTTGGTGCTCCTGTGTTTGGTGCATGTATATTTATAATAGTTAGATCTTTTGTTGAATTGAACCCCTTACTGTTATGTAATGCCCTTCTTTGTCTTTTTTATACCTGCTGGTTTAAAGTCTATGTTGTCTGAAATTAGGATAGCAACCATAGCTTTTTTCTCTTTTTCATTTGTTGGGTGATATGCTTTGGCTCTGTGTCCCCAACCACATCTCATGTTGAATTGTTCCAAGTGTTAAAGGAGAGGCCTGGTGGAAGGTGACTGAATCATGGGGGTGGACTTCCCCCTTTGCTGTTTTCATGATAGAGTTCTCACAAGATCTGATTATTTGGAAGTGTGTAAACCCCCCCCCCCCTCACTGTCTTTCTTCTGCTCTACCATGTGAATATTGTACCTGGTTCCACTTCACCTTTCGTCATGATTATATGTTTCCTAAGGTCTCACCAGCCATGCCTCTTATACAGCCTGCCAAACTGTGAGTTAATTCAATCTCTTTTCTCCATAAACTGCCCAGTCTCAGGTATTTCTTTCTAGCATATAGCAGTATGAAAACAGACTAATATACTTGGTAGATGTTTCTCCATCCTTTTATTTTGAATCTATGTGTGTCATGGCATGTGAGATGGATCTCATGAAGGCAGCATACTACTGGACCTTGCTTCTTATCCAACTTGCTACTCTGTCTTATTTAATTGGGGTTTTTAACCTATTTACATTCAAGGTTAGTATTGATATGTATGGATTTAATTCTGCCATTGTCTTATTAGCTGGTTATTATGCAGACTTGTTTGTGTGGTTGCTTTTTAATGTTACTGGTCTGTGTACTTAAGTGTGTTGTTGTAGTGCATGGTAAAGATCTTTCCTTATGTAGCACTTCCTTCAGGGCCTCTTGTAAGGCAAATCTAGTAGTAACAAATTCTCTCAGATTTGTGTGTCTGAAAAGGATCTTACTATTTCTTATTGTATGAAGCTTAGTTTGGCAGTATATAAAATTCTTGGTTGGAAATTCTTGTCTTTAAAAATGCTGAATATAGGCCCCCAATATCTTCTGGTTGTAGGCTTTCTGTGGAGGTCCACTGTCAGCCTGGTGGGGTTCTCTTTGGTTCAGTGACTTACCCCTCCTCTTTAGCTGCCTTTGACATTTTTTCTTTCATTTTTACCTTGGAAAATCTGATGAATATTTGTCTTTGGGATGGTCTTCTTGTGTTGTGTCTCACAGGTACTCTGCATTTCTCAAAAATAAATGTTAGCCTCTCTAGCAAGGTTGGGAAAGTTTTCATGAATAATACTCTGAGATATGTTTTTCATGTTACTTCTTTCTCCCTATCTTTTTCAGGGATGCCTGTGAGTCCTAGCTTTGGTCTCTTAATATAATTCCATATTTCTTATAGATTTTATTTGTTCTTTATTCTTTATTTTTATCTGACTGTCTTATATCAGACATCCAGTCTTCAAGCTCTGATATGCTTTTCACAGCTTGATCTGTTCTGCTGTTAATATTCATGATTGCATCATTAAATTCTTGTAATGTGTTTTTGAGCTGTGTAAAATCATTTATACAGCTTTTTAATAATGACTATTTATCTGTTACCTTCTGTATCATTTTATTGTAAACCTTAGATTTCTTGAATTGGGTTTCAACTTTCTCCTGAATCTCAAAGATCTTTGTTCCTCTCTGTATTCTGAATTCTGTTTCTGTCATTTCACCCATTTCAGCCAGGTTAAGAATCATCGCTGGGAAACTACTGCAGTCATTTGGAGGAAAAAGATATTCTGGCTTTTTGTGTTGCCAAAATTCTTATGCTGGTACTTTCTCATCTTTATGTGCTGGTGTTCCTTTAAATGCAATGTAAATTGAGCACAGTTATTAGACTTCTTTTCTCAGTGTTTTCAGGGTGTGAGGCTTTGTGCAGTGTCTTTACTTGTAGCTGAATTATTGTCCTTGGTTTCACAGGGTGGGTTGAGGTTATATTAGCAATGTACTTTTGGTGTTGAAGCTTCGGGCTGTGATCCAGTAGATGATGCTTAAGCATAATGGCACATCTGATACACATCTGATATCCAAAACTCTGAATAAACTTATAAAATATTCTTTAACTTTGCAGACTTTTTCTGGTATTATATTCCACACAGTAGCTGTTAAGAGCATAACTTCTGGAGCCAGACTACCTGTGTGGAAATTCTGACTCTTCCTGTTCCAGTTTCTACTGCTGTGTAACATATACTTTAAAATTTATCAGTTTAAGACAATTACAACTGACCCATGAACAACACCAGTTTGAGCTGTCTTGGTCAACTTATATGCAGATATTTTTAACCTTGCTGTGGATCAAAAATACTGTATTATTTTTGTGATGTGAGGGATGTGAAAGCTGATTATGCAGAAGATCAACTTTTTATATTTTGCATATTGGGTTGCACAGAGTCAACTGAGGGATTTGAGTATGCCTGGATTATGGTATACAGCAGAGGTCCTGGAACCAATCCCCTACATTCACTGAGGGATGGCTGTATTTTATTATGCTCATGGGTGCAGTGGGTCAGTAATTTGGACAGGACACAGTTGAGGAGACTTGTCTCTGCTCTGTGAAATCTGAATTTTAGGTGGGCAAACTCAAAGGCTGGGCATACGATAGTTGGTGGGGCCAGAAACATATGAAGACTCATTCACTCATCTGTCTGGCATCTGGGATGATAGAACTATTAGACTAGAGCTAATGCAAATCTAAATGCCTACATTTGGCCTCTTCTAAGCTGTTACTCACAGCATGGTATTAACTACTCACAGGCCTACTCAGGGCTCCAAGTGCCAGTGTTACAGGAAATACAGTGGCAATTGCATCGCTGTCTTAAACCTAACCTCCTCTGAAGATATACATTATACCATTTATCACCGTCTATTATTATGAGTCACCCAAGTTGCCCTTTGAAGAAATATCACTTATAAAAATTGCTACAATCTCCTAGAGTTCTCTAATTTTGAGCAAATTGCCTAACTTTATTAGTTGAGTTTTTTTAAACTATAGAAGAAATATAATAATAATAATTACTTCATAGATTTTTGTATTTAGTGAATTAGTATGTGTAAACTATTTGGACAGTCTATAGCATATTGCAAATGTTCAAAAAGAATTTAACAATTATTTATATTATCACAATTATTTTAAGAGAGCAAGTAAAGACAGTGGGACCCACCTCTGGGAGGTTTGCTTTCCTTAGTATTGTTAATTCATTAAAAAATCTATTAATAGAATTAAATAATAAAGAATAAACATAAACAATATTTATTTATATAAAAGGAATGTCTAAGGGTAAAGAAAATGAATGCTTCAGAAAAATATAAAAGATCTAGATTTACAATAACAATATATTAGACTACTATTAAAGAGGCTTTATAAATGCACGATTCCAAGTAATCATTTTACAAATGATAAGAAGCATTCATGAGCAAGTTTAAATGATTTGCCTTACATCAATGGGAGAGTGAGGATGGGAACCAAGATCCCTAAGGCCACTGTAGAGTGGCTTATCCTTTACACTATAGTGCTGCAATTTTAATAAATATTTGTTAATTTTTTAACTTTGAATATCTGTGAATTAAATGAAGAGGAAAGAGCAAAAAGAGGAGATAAATTTACTAGTTTCAAATTCCTTTATCACATGAGTTCATCACTTGTTAATAACATAGGAACTTTCTTCTAACAAAGAAAAGAAATATTTTTGCAACAGAAACTACCAGAAGTGGTTATTTTGACACATTCTTTAGTATGTGCTAAATATTTTTAAATACATTACATGTAAATGTTATCCTACTGCAATAATTCAAGATCCACTCTCGAAATATCTTGCTTCGTAATATCTGGACTTCACCTAGGCAAACTTAAAGGCTGGATATGCAAGGGTTGATGGGGCTGAATTTCTTATGGGAGAATATTTTTATTTAAAAAAATAGAATAACATTGACAAAATTTAAACATTTTTCAAAGTAATAACTACAATCTATGGTCAGAAATATCCTTTCACTGGTATTAAATATCTTTAACACAAAATAATGATTTAAATATAATGATAATTATTGGTCTAAATATTTATAGACATGAAATTTTGTATTTGACTGAGAAATAGCTACGGAACACAATTAGAAACTAAATAAAAATTTAACATAACTTTATTTTATTGCAATTACTGAAATAAATTGCCAAGGTTATAAAGTTACAAGCTTTTTATATATTTTGTGGAAGTTGACACCTGTTACACTAGACCTTTATGTTTGAATAAGGACAGATAAAGTGATACAACCACAGGAATATAAATATTTATTGCAAAATATTATTTTGCTATAGAAAATAACTAATAAACACCTTATTTCTACATTTACTGAGTATGCTAAGTTTTCATTGTATAAATCATGTTTTTGTTTTAATCATATATATCAGCATATGAAAATCATGACTGAACTTATTCATGGTAATTTAAATTAGACATACAATTTAAATATACTTATGAAAAAATATCATCATTTAATAATGGTCACTTATGACCAATAACATAAGCACAACTCTTAGGTAATCAAATATATGATTACTTTTTTAATCTTAAAGTATAAAATACAGAACTCTTTGTGATTATCTTATATAGCTTCAATGGTATAGATTGAAAATATTATAGATATTAGATAATAATCTAATAAATGCAAGTATGCATCCCACTTATGACCTACTATGTAACAGATGTGCTCTAATTATTTCCCTAAAATGCTAAGTAATCATAAATGTATGTTGGAGTAACCAGAAAAGTTATCAGGTATATACTAGTTAAACATTTTTCTCCCCCTTTTTTTATTTTCTAAGATGACTAAAATAGATGAAGTCACTTCCCAATTATCAGATCATGCAAGTTGTCTCCCAGGAGAGCAGTATACCTGGGCAGAAAGGTAAGCAACATTCTAAGAGAGAAAGGACAGAGATCACCAAACATTTCCCTTTTGAGGTAAACATGGACCAGGTGGGTGATTATTTTGTTAACCTAAATAACAAAAGGGGCTCTCTAATATTTTTTAAAAGCTACTTATTTGGAAATAGGATACTGCAATGGGGATAATCCTGCCATAACAAACTATACGCATATTCAGAGAATAAAGAAGACAAAGGTTTTTTTAAATAAAAAATGAGGAGGATTACATAATTGTTTTAAAATTGTTATCTTTGGATACAAAGATGAATAATAAGGGTGACTAGAGTCTGTGGTTGGACAGACAGTTGCTCAATAGATGTCCTTGCAGAAGTATTTTTTTAGTAAGGTTGCAATGTCCTTTGTACAAGATTGTGTTTTTTGCAGAGTTTTTTTGTGAGAGTTTTTGTTATCAATCATACAAGCATAAGAACATTCTCTTCATAGCCTTTCTGGCTCCATTTGCAAGGACAATTTTAACATTAATGACTCCATTTTAACTTTGACAACCTCCGAAATTTTCAGTAATAGCTGTGATAAACCCAGCCTAAATCCTTTTTAATGCAACTTTGCTGCTCTGACATATGAACAGTAGCTGTAGAAAGACAAATGTCTCAAAAATAACTGTGAGTACAGCTTTGCAAATATTTCATCTAGAAATACCTCAAAGTATTCTTGAGGGAGGCTTGCCAGCAAAAGCAGAACCATTCTAGGGTAAAGGAGATTAAATGGTTCAAATTCCATAAATGTCTTTGGGTCCCCAACTTTTTACAGGTAAATAAGCTGGCTGAGAAAGCTATCCAATGGACTGGGTAGCTTCTTTTATAGAGCAATATATAAGAAATGCCCAAGGCTCCAATTGCATAGCATAACAAGGCCATGATTAAGGATTATTTACTACTTATGAAGTAAATTGGTCTATTGCAGTCATCTTTTTGTATCCTTTGGGGGATTGCTTCCAGAACCCAACTCCTTCCCCTAGGTACTGAAATCCATGAAATCTCTAGTACCTTATTTAAAATAGCATAGAATGTGCATATGATCTACATCCCCCCACATACTTCAAATCATCTCCAGATTACTTATAATACCTAATACAACACACACATATTAATTCATTGAATGGATTCAATGTAGTACTTGGCAAACGGCAAATTTAAGTTTTGTTTTTTTTTAATTTTGTGTATTTTTTTCTAAATATTTTTGATCCTTGGTTTGTTGAATTCATGAATGCAGAACACATGGATATGGGGGCCAAACTGTATATCTAGCAGGTTTTCAGAATTTTTTTGGAGGAGTGATTGCTGTGTACCCTCCATTCTCCCTTCTTTTGAATAGGAGTATTGTGATAACATCTCCCTTTCTCTTCATTACATGTTGAGAATGTGTGGGAAGATGGCTTGCATTTTGAATTCACAGATCTATGAATTAAGAGAGGAGCTGCATTTTAGAAGTTTATCTCAATATGAAGTAATACCAAGATTTTGGACTTTGAACATGATGCCATGCTTACATAAGACTTTCAGAGTTCTTAGGGTCGGTGAGTATATTTTGCATGTAGCATTGATATGATTAATTGCAGCAAACTAAGAGCTATCATGTATTGGTTGTACCAATGGCTGTACTTATTTCTCTTCCCACATGCATGCCACTTTTCAATATGATTTTGTAGCTCCTTGCATTAAAATTCTGGAATTGCCTTCTCATTCACTTTGAACAATAAAATTATGTGGAAGTGACACTGAGCTGGTTCTAAGCCAAAGCCTAAAAAAATATGACTATTGCCTCTCCATCTTTTGGAAATCTACACAATCACATGAGTTGAAGCCAACGCTAACCTACTGGATTATAAGTGGTACATGGCTCAATCACCTCCATCATCTGAGCCATCAGTCATCTTAAGAGTTAGAAAACCTACTAATATGCTGTTGACTTCAAACATACATATGAAGAAGTCCTGCTGAGGCCAGTTTAAATTTTAGACCAACAGAATCATAGGCTAATGAAATGGATGTTTTAAATCACTAAACATTGTGATAGTTTTATTTTCAGCAATATTGACTGATACTGATAATGACTGACGGATTGAAATAGTTTCAGATTAGGTGTGCTCTCAGGAAAGGGCACAGGAATGAATAAAGAAACTCACCATGAGAATAAGTAATGACTTTGCGGGTGACCCAGGTACAATAACTGAGCCAATTATTTTAAAGTAAAGTTAGCTGCAGTGGCACAATGTGGCTGAGTTCAGCATAGTTTTCCCTCTGGCTATCCTGACATTACTGAGCATGCTATAGACATGTGAATAAAAAGCTGAAAAATAAAATATGACATTATTTAAAGTATCATCTAATGATGGCACAAGGCTTAAATGTTACCCTAAAGAGAAAGACCTCCTCCTCTTACCACTTCCCCATGAGGAAATATGCTAACCTCACTAACTTGGTCATTACTAGAATAAATAATAAAGTAGGGACTTGTGAAAACTTTCTATTTATGGCAACAATAGCATATGGCCACAACAGCAGTAAAATGACAAATGTTAGGGGAAATTATTAGACCTTCAGATGTTCTTTCCTTGTCCTATGGGCACTCTTCCCTGTTCCTCTCACTAAGTATAGTATAGTATAGTATAGTACTTCGTGAGAGAAACAGGCAAGAGTGCCCGTAAGACAAGTAAACACAATTTTAGAACTTTAAAAGGAAAAATCAAACCACCTACTTGTATTTGTTCATTGCTAGTCTCACCTCAGCTCCTTGAACTGAATCTGGCTATTAGCATATATTCCAAAAATATTTGTTGAATGAATGTTCATAATATATGATATAATGAATGTTCATAAATATATGAACATTAAAAAGTGATATGATCTTCCTTTGAATTTTATACTGGTGAGATAAAAACATTAATCATAATAACAATATGCAAGTTATGTAAGGCTATAAAAATAATCATTTTCCTAAAACAATAAAAATATACAGTTTTTTATACTTGGTACTTCAAAAAGTACCAAAATATACATTGCTAATCCAATTATAAATGAAACTGTATTAAGTATCCAACACTGTGTCAAGAAATAGATATCATTTTCCCTATTTTAAAAACAACAAAAATTAGAAGAGATTAAGTGGTTTACTCAAGGGCAAATAATTAGTCAATCATGGATTTTGAACTCAGATCCTGATATGGTTTTGTTCTGTGTCCCCACCCAAATCTCATCTCAAATTGTAATCCCCATGTATCAAGGGAGGAACCTGGTGGAAGGTGATGGAATCATGGGAGTGGTTTCCCCATGCTTTTCTCATGATAGTGAGTGAGTTCTTATGAGATCTGATGGTTTAAAAGTGTTTTGCACATCCGCCCACCCCCAATACTGCTGCCAAGTAAGATGAACCTTACTTCCCCTTCGCCTTCTCCCATTATTGTAAGTTTCTTGAGGCCATCCCAGCCACTCAGAATTCTGAGTCAATTAAACCTCTTTTATTTAAAAATTACCAAGTATCAGGCAGTTCTTCACAGCAATGTGAAAACAGACTAATACATAAATTGGTACCAGGAAGGGGGTACTGCTATAAAGATAAACTGAATATGTAGAAGTGACTTTGGAACTGGGTAACAGGCAGAGGTTGGAATAGTTTGGAGGGTTCAGAAGAAGACAAGAGTATGCGGAAAAGTCCTAGAGACTTGTTGAATGGTTTTGACCAACATGCTGCTAGTGATATCGACAATGAAGTCCAGCCTGAGGTGGTCTCAGATGGAGATGAGGAAATTTTTGGGAACCAGAGTAAAAGGTCACTCTTGCTATGTTTTAGCAAAGAGACTGGTGGCATTTTGGCCTCACCCTAGAGATCTGTGGAACTTTGAACTTGAGAGATTGTTTAGGGTATCAGTTGGAAGAAATTTCTAAGCAGAAAACTGGCATTTTCTGAAAGTGTAGTCCCATATGTGGAAACACAGAGGTTATCTGAAACTGGAAATTTTGTTTAAAAGGAAAGCAGAGCATAAAAGTTTGAAATATTTTGGCCTCACCCTAGAGATCTGTGGAACTTTGACCTTGAGAGATTGTTTAGGGTATCAGTTGGAAGAAATTTCTAAGCAGAAAACTGGCATTTTCTGAAAGTGTAGTCCCGTATGTGTAAACAAAGAGGTTATCTGAAACTGGAAATTTTGTTTAAAAGAAAAGCAGAGCATAAAAGTTTGAAATATTTGCAGCCTGACCATTCAGTAGAAACAAAAAACCCATATTCTAGGGAGAAATTCAAGTCAGATGCATAAATCTGCATAAATAATGAGGAGCTGAATGTTAAGACAATGGGAAAAGTGTCTCCAGGTTATATGAAAGATCTTTGTGTCATCCCCACCCATCACAGGCCTGGAGACCTAAGAGGGAAAAATGGTTTTGTGGGTCAGGCCAGGGCCTAGCTGCTCTGTGCAGGCTTAGGACATGGTGCCCTGAATCCCAGCTGCTCCAGCTCCAGCCATGGCTCAAACAAGCAAAAGTGCAGCTCAGGTCGTTGCTTCAGAGGGTACAAGCCCCAAGCACTGGCAACTTCCAAGTGGTGCTGGGCCTGTGGGCATGCAAAAGACAAGAGGTGATCTTTGGGAACTTCTGCTTAGATTTCAGAGGATGTATGGAAAGGCCTCAATATCCAAGCAGAAGTCTGCTGCAGGGGCAGAGCCCTCATGGAAAACCTCTACTAGGGCAATACAGAGGAGAAATGTGTGGTTGGAGCCCCAACACTGAGTGCCCATTGGGGCAGTGCCTAGTGGAGCTGTGAGAAGATGGCCACCATCCTCCATACACCAGAAAGGTAGATCCATTGACAGCTTGCACTGTGCACTTGGAAAAACAGCAGACACTCAATGCCAGCCTGTGAAAGCAGTCATGGGGTATGTACCCTGAAGAGCCACAGAGGCAGAGCTGCCCAAGTCCTTGGGAGCCCACCCCTTGTATCAGCATGCCTAAGTGTGAGACATGGAATCAAAGGAGGTCATTTTGGAGCTTTAAGATTTAATTGCTGACCCACTGGATTTTGGAATTTCATGAAGCCAGTAGCTCCTTCATATTGGCCAATTTATCCCATTTGGAATGGGAGCACTTATCCAATGCCTATACACCCATTGTATCTTGGAAGTTACTAACTTGCTTTTGATTTTACAGGTTCCTAGGTGGAAGGGACTTGCCTTGTCTCACATGAGAGTTTGGATTGCAGACTTCTGAGATAATGCTGAAATGAATTAAGAGTTTGGGGTACTGGTTGGGAAGGCACGATTGGTTTTGAAATGTAAGAGGACATGAGATTTGGTCGGGGCCAGGGGTGGAATGATATGGTCTGGCTCTGTGTCTGTACCCAAATCTCATCTTGAATTGTAATTCCCATGTGGCAAAGGAGGGACCTGGTGGGAGGTGATTGAATCATGAGGACAGTTTCCCTCATGCTGTTCTCATGAAAGCAAGTGAGTTCTCATGAGATCTGATTGTTTAAAAGTGTTTGGCAGTTCTTTTTCTTCTACTCCTTCTCTCTCTCTCTCTCTTTCTCTTTCGCTCTCTCTCCTGCCACCATGTAAGACGTGCCTTGCTTCCCCTTTACCTTCTGCTGTAACTGTTAAGTTTCCTGAGGCCTTCTCAGCCATGAAGAACTGTGAGTCAATTAAACCTCAAATGGGCTAATACAGATCCCTTGCTGTTCTTATCACAGTAGCCCATAAATGATGAGAGAAAATAGTTTCTTATTGAAAATATCTAATGCTTGCTGTTTAAAGTTGACAAATGGTAGAGCACAACTTGATCATTTGTACATAACATTTAAGAAAATGTGGTAATTTCAGTTTTATGTTGAACAAACATACCTGGGTAAGCAGTGAACCTGCATTTTGGATTCAGTTCTGATAAATATAATTATGTAATAACAATAAGTAAACCACTTAAACTTTCTGGAATACCTCTTTCCTCATCTTTAAAATGAACAGAGTAAGGTTTTCAACTCTAGTTTTTTACACACAGGCTTATTTAAAATTACAATGTGCAAAACAAATAGAAATATGTATGCTATGCTTGAAGGTAGCAAAGCAGAAGAAATTTCTAACCTAATCCCCATATTACAATTTCCTCAGGGATGACTACAGCATCTACAATGAACCAGGGTTCAGTTGGAACTATCCTAAAATGGTCATAACCAGGGATCTTCTAAAGTTCATTTTAGTCATAGGTGTGTTTTATATGGCAGTTAAAACTCTATGAGATCTGTATTGGTCATGTATTGCATGTATTGCTGCATGACAAATTATCTCAAATTTATGGCTTAAAACAACAAAGACTTAGTATTTCACAAGCTATGTGATTCAGGAATCTGGGAATGGCTTAGCTGGGTATATTTGGCTCAGGATAGCTCAAAAAGCCATAGACAAGCTGTGGTCCTGGGTTGAATTTATTAATATCGCAGGGCTTGATTCAGGCTGGAGGATCTGCTTATAAGCTCATTCACGTGGCTATTAGAAGGTCTTAGAATATGTAATTCCAAACTTACTAACATGGTTGTTACAGCCTTAATTCTTTGCCATGTAAGTTTTTCCATAGATTATTCAAGTATTTTTATCATATGGCAGCTAAGGATTTGAGAGTGTGCTAGAGAACACTTAAGGTGGAAGGCACAGTGGTGGCAAAATCTAATTTCAGAAGTGAAATTGTATCATGTTCGCTGTATTCTATTCACCAAACACATGCCACTAAGTCCAGCTCATACTCACAGGGATAAAAACAAAACTTCATGTCTTGAAGGTAGATGCATCAAATAATTTGTGTACAACTGTTTAAAACCATTGAAAGACCTGATGGTGAATTTTACTGGAGGCAGCTGCATTCCTCAGGTGATATGATTATAAGCAAAAAAAGGTCAATCTTTCTGATAGAGAATGTGAAAGTAAATAAATATTATTTATATTATTTCATGACGAGATGCCACTTTGACTAAGCCATAAATGCAAAACCCCTATTCACTCTCATGCATGAACTTACCTGATCTCCAACATATTATATTTAAATGAATATCAATTAAAATTCGACTAATTTATCATTACTCAATCCTACTCAAACTATTCAGAATCACTGAGTTCCATATAGAAATATCTCAAGATCTCTACATTATATTGATGCCACATTACCTTTGAATGCTAAATCCCCAACTAATCTTTTCCTAAACATTACTTAATACTTTGCAATATATCTGTCCTGCTATTCAGTAATCAACATTCTGAGTAATCCCTAGTATTTTAAAAAGTCAAACAGCAACGGAAAAATTGTTTCCCTTAGGAATCTTAGAGGTGAACAATCTGAAAAAAAAATGAATTATATTCAGGTTTTGAAATGTGTTTCTCTTAATGTACATATGAGTCACTATCTTCTTTGATACATATAAATGGCAAATGCAATGTAATATATATTCTGCAATTTCTGTACCACTTTTATTAAGTACTATTCAAAGTGCAAAAATTGTAGTAATTTCAAACATGATTTATAAGGTTATATATACAAAAAAATTTGCAATTTAAGTGGTTGAAAGGGAACAATGAGCTCATATTTTATATTGATATAACAATAAAGTCTCTTAGGATTTATTAGTATTGGTATCCTTGTCCTTCAAGTCCCAGTTAAAATGGTAAGTTCCTTATAAAATTTTCTTCCCAGTATAATTACTTTTTTTTGTACTCTCTCTCATCTCACTTGTACTTACAACAGTTATCTCATTGCAATCCAGCACTCACTAGACTACAAGTTTTGTGAATGTTGAGAATGTGTTCTTATATCTCTTACTTTAATAACTGTAATACAATTATTTATTTACATATCTTCAGCTCTATCTTTGAAGTTTCTGTGCAAAACTAAGCTAATCACCCAATAAATTTAATAATAAAACTACCAGATAAACCATCCATAGTTGTATTAGAAAAAATTAAAATTCTTTTTTGTAACAAACAATCCCAAATTCTCAACGGCTTAAAGCAATGAAGGTTCATTACCTATTCATTCCACAAGTCCAGTCCAGACCTAAAGGAGAGGTCAATTTATCGTCATCACTAGGAGTGATGGAAGATGCTGGCATTGCAGTACAAGGTTTCAGGATTCATCACAACTGGGTAAGAGAGCATGAAGGATCACTTATCAGGTATCAAGAGCTTCCACCTCCAAGTGGCACACACTACTTTTGTTCACATTGCAATGACCATGAAACAAATCACATATTCACAGCTGACTTCAAGACACTGTGTGGCCAGAATGAAGAGTCAAAATCCTGGTGACCACTAGTGATGGCCTCTGCAATAGTCATTACATAGTATAGTATATAATCTATACACAGTTAATGAAGAAAGACAATCAGAGTAGTGAGCCAGAGCATACATGATTAATATAAGTCATTTATATGGAAGTTGGCTTATTTTAAAATAATTTATCACAAATTTTATTGTTTTAACTTGTATCATGACATTAAATGTATGTATATAATATATATAGTAAATAGTCATCATTGGAAGAAAATAATTTAAGAGCTATGACATAGAAAATACAACAACGTTTTATAGTAATGATTTTCTGTACTCTTATAGTATTACAAATATCTATTTATCTAATCTTTAAATATTAAATTTAAAATATTCTTCTAGTTGCCCTTCTTTTTCTAATTTCCTGCCTCTGGTTTATATTGGATCACTGGGTCCTGCCTAGATACCATTTCATCATTTCTCTGATTTAGGTCCGCTTTTTCAACCATATTAAAAGAGTTCTTGTATTTTCTAAGTAACCAGTTACAGAAAAAGTACGATAAATTAACATATTCAGCTCTCATATACATGCACAAATGTAAATCTTTGTCTTGAAACTCATAGAAAACATTTTTCAAAGCAAAAGGAGTTATGTTGAATCTTGAAAAATAATGTCATGATTCTTAGTTGTTTTTGTTTATTGCATTTAACTTTTTGTTATTTCTCTTTAGTTCATAATAGATTCTAATTTGGCATAATGAACATTATACCCACTACTGAATTATGGTGAGAAAATTCATTTTCTTGGCTGTGAGTAAAAAACAGAAAACTTTGTATAATGTAATACACAATCATTGAATTCCCATGACATAATATTGATAGTATTTATCCTAGAATTGTTGAAACTTTAATCTGCCTTTGAAATATAGACAATAAATACATTGTCTATATATATTGTCTATATAAATATGAATATATTGTCTATATTTATTTATTTTTGTTTCTATTAAAGCCTAAAGTGTTTAATTTATATATTATAAAATATTAGCATGGGTTTACCATCATAAAGGTTTGAAGACATTATTAAATTTAAAATGCAAAATTACTTTACATAAAATAACATAAATTACTCCATTACAAAAATTGTGTTCCAGTCAGATTTTTGTCCTTCCATATATGGTTCATATTAATATCTTGCTAACCTAAGCCACTGATGCCCCAGTCACTTCACGTGATTTAACGACAACTCCACCACTTGCTACACACAGAGCAGCTTTCTGGTGGTCCTATTACCTAGTCTTGGACAATTACATTTTCTAACCTATGAATCATAAAGATTGCTTCATGGATGGATAACTGACTCAATACGTTTAAGTGATTTTTTTTTAACTACTGAGAAAATACAATTCTGTTTTCCAAGGTAAAGAGGTAAGATATTAACATAGCATTAATGGGGGGGGGGTCACCATATAAAAATAACTTGCCTGAGAATAAAGCCAACACAGAGATGAAGAAACTGAACTAATAATATATTTAATTTCCTGGATCCAGCTAAGCCTGAAGTTAATTTTATCCTTGGGCTTTTAAGTTGCATTAGTCATTGGATTCTTTTTTATTTCTGGATCAATGTGAGTTTAGTTGTTATAATGTATACCAATGAAGTCCTTATGAGTTCTTCATTTAAACATCTCCTTATGAGATGTCTAAAAGGCAGCTGGACTGGTGATGAAGCATTAGAGATGACAAACTCTCTAAAATTTTTATATAGAGTCTATTAAAATCTAGCACCCAATGCATTTGACAATGGTTGGAGTTTTACAGATTCTACATATAATTTAACCCCATAAAAGAAGTAATTATTATTCAATTCATTATTCATTGTAAGCTTTTCCAATATTGTCATTAAATAGAGCAGCTAAATCAATATTATGAAAATCACTTATGGTAATATACTCTATAATAATTAAAATCATTTTATTATATATTTTAAGTATAATTAAAATTCAGGAGTTCAATTTTAATAGATATCTAGTAAGAGGAAAGAATATTTTATTTTCAAATATTTACTCCTATTTTATATTATATATGTAATTGAAATAGTTGGAAAGTGAATATTATTGACATTTCAGACAATAAAATGATTTCAAAGTTAACACTGAAAAATTCAATGTTATTCTGTTTTATATTTGTCTCTCATTTTCCATACTAAGTGAACCATGGACATGAAATGTGGTTGAAAAGAAAAACAAAACTTCCAATAATTTTATTATTTGCAGTTAACTCGCAATTCTAGAAGCTCAACTTACAGAAATACACTAATGAAAATAAATTTAAAGCATTAAATATGGCAGAAAATGTTTCAAAATACATAAAGTATTAGTAAAATAACTGCCAAGAAAATAAGCCATTCACAAAATGAAGTTATTATCTATAGAATTTTTGTCAATGATGATTACTCAATCTGATCACTCAATCTGATCATTATAAATTGACAAAAAAATAAAATTTGTTCCCAATTTTAACTATATTTTAGTTAAATGTAATGAGTTGAAAATTAATGTATTAATTTTATTGATGTATTACATTAATATATTAATGTAAAATTTATATAGAAATATTTATACTGATCAATCTACATAGAGAAAATGTAATAATAATTGAGAGGAATTTTCACTTAAAAATTGTTCTAAAAGCTAAATATTGATATATTTTCTTCCAGTTCATTGAGATTAAAATGAGTTTTTTATTCACAAATATATTTAAATACACCCTTAACTAGAACTGAAAGTCATACTGATTAATTCTAACATGTATCCCTCATATCCTTTTTTATTCTATTTTACTTCCATTGGGATGTTTTTTTCTAGTCAGCATTTCAACTGTTTCATTTGGAATGAAATATGCTCATCTTCATCAGACTCTTTGATAACTATCTTATAAAGGAAATTGATATTCTTCAAACTTTGTCAACTGTCTTGTTTTTA
This sequence comes from Homo sapiens, assembly GCF_000001405.40. Taxonomy (NCBI): domain Eukaryota; kingdom Metazoa; phylum Chordata; class Mammalia; order Primates; family Hominidae; genus Homo; species Homo sapiens. Next base: position 121,469 of record NT_187555.1, on the reverse strand, counting down.
TAACATACTGGTGCTTAAAAACATCCACGAGATTTCTAGGATCCTGAAAAAATACTTAAACCTTATACACCATGGAATACTATACAACCATATAACAGATATTATGTCCTTTACAGAGACATGGATGGAGCTCAAGGCCATTATCCTTAGCAAACTAATGCAGGAGTAGAAGACCAAATATTGCATGTTATCACTTATAAGAAGGAGCTAAGTGATGAGAACGCGTAGACACACAGAGGGCATGACACACACTGAGGCCTGTCAGAGGGTGGAATTTTGGAGGAGGGAGATGAACAGGAAAAGTATCTAGTGGGTACTAGGCTTAATACCTGAGTGATGAAATAATCTTTGCAAAAAAGCGCCCCATGACATAAATGTACCTATATAACAAACCTGCACATGTACTTCTGAACTTAAAATAAAAGTTAAATAAAAAATGAATAAAGCTTAATCTCGTTATGCAGTTATCTAAGTGTTAGATATAATATCTAGTATATGTTATTTAAGTAACAAAACAACAAAATAAGGTTTCCTCGTTTTACAGATGCTGAAACTGAGTAATAAATTATTTAAATAATCTTGCCCAGTCTCTTCAAAATCATACCAATCTGGTTCCAGGATCCAAGGTCTTTATTATCCTACATACTGTTTCTCACTCTACATTGGTATTTAGTTAAGTGCCTAACATTTTGTAACTGCTCAGAATCTATTTGTTTATTATGATTATATATGAAATGACTGCAAGAATGAATAAGGAATATGAATAAATTTCTAATGTCTGCAATGATTTATACAAACTTTGAAAACATGTAAGTTAATCAAATTATTTTAAAAATGCTTAAATCTTGTCTGTTTCATTAATCTATTTTTTCAATAAAGTTATAGTGCTGTATATTAAGTTTTTATTAAGAATGAAGACATCTCTTTAACTCTTTCAAAGCCTATATGAACTTTGTGAAAATTAATCTTGAAGTTAGATTTTCTGAATATTGCTATTAACAAAATTAAATACTAATTGAAATGACTTGGAGACTCAAGGAAAACATTTAATGCTTATAATTATATTTGGAATTTTTTCAAATGATATAAATTTCACATAGTCTAATGCTTCTTCATTCTGTAAAAAAGTACATTGCAATGGAAGTAAGGTGCACATAAATATCTAATGTGTGACTGAATATATAAATGGATAAGCGCAAGACTGTATGTAAAAATAGAATCCACACCCACAACCTGCAGCAATTAGCCCAGGAAGCCAACATCCTATCTCCAGAAACCATCCACAAAAGCTAACCTACTGTCTATAGTAACTAGTCCAAGAAGTCAGACGATTCTCTCGGACAACCAATTTAGGAAGACAAACAATAACCCTTATAACAATAAGCTCTTAATACTTGTCAGCTTCCCTAATATTTGCTGTTATTTAAAACAGGACTAATCAGAGGAACCCAATTACAGAGATGCCCCACTTCTGCTAGCCTGCCTGCAACTTGTCTATGTCAACAGCATACCTGAGACCTTCTTTTTTTATTCTGCTATATATCAAAATCAAGTGATTTCCCTGCTATAGCAAGCTCTGAATAAGTAGCCTTTTCTTGTTCTCATTTCTCTGCTCTTCATTTATGTTTGCCAATCTTGAGTCTAAATAGAGTCAAATATGTTTAACTATTACAAAGCTTTCAAATGATCTATTTTATCAGATGGTTATTTATCACTGTGTTATAATTGATAAGTTGAGATTAAAATATATCCTATAAACATTGTTTAAACATATTTATTATGGTGCTAGCAAGATAATCCAAACATAAAACTTAAACTTATCTGATTTTTGGAAAGAAATCTAAAAATTTCAGAATCAGCAGGATTTATTTTGATTTATTTTCTTTGGTTTGATTATATAAATAAAGTGATAAATAAAACTTAAAATATATTAATGCTCAAAGACTTATTTAAAGGTGAATTAGAGTGAGCTCTCAGGTGAGATTAAAACACTTAAATGTATCACTCATTTTATTCTCTGAATTTTTGTAAAAGGCTTTAAACAATCTTTAGTTTACATGTAGTTCCTGTTGCATTTCTTTGTGGTGTTTCTACTAAGTGTTAAATAATTACTTTTCTATTTTTCATATTTAATAGAAGAAAAAACTGACATAAAAAACGATTCAAATGACAATAATGTATTGTAGATCACTTGTGACAGATTATAAGAGAACCTGGTCATATTGACCATTATGCTTTATCTGTAACCATGTTGATAACCAAGACCACTTCTGGCCGGGTGTGGTGGATCACGCCTGTATCCCAGCACTTTGGGAGGCTGAGGCAGGTGGATCACAAGGTCAGGAGATGGAGACCATCCTGGCTAACACGGTGAAACCCTGTCTCTACTAAAAAAAATACAAAAATCTAGCCGGGCGTGGTGTGGCATGCGCCTGTAGTCCCAGCTACTTGGGAGGCTGAGGCAGGAGAATCGCTTGAACCTGGAAGGTGGAGGTTGCAGTGAGCCAAGATCATGCCACTGCACTCTAGTCTGGGCAACAGAGCAAGACTTCGTCTCAAAATAATAATAATAATAATAATAATAATAATAATAATAATAATAAAATAACCAAGACCACTTCTAACACCAAGTGAGCAATATAATATAGGAGCTTATAAAATCTGGCCACAGTTTGTTCTCTCAGAGTCAGTTTTGATGTCATATCCTGTTTTCCATAGAATTGATAATGGCATGTTTTTTCAGTCAACAGGTTTTGATTTGCTCTAAGTTTCTGGGATATTAGGGTCATTTCTACTTTAGGAATAGGTCTGGTAACTGGAGTAAAATTGTGAATACTTTTTAGTACATTTTTAGTCCAGGATAAAACTTTAAAACTCTTTAAACTTCTCTTTGACTTTGGCAACTCTAACTTTTCAGAACACTATGTTAAGATTATTCTCTTTCAGATTGCAGATTGTTTCTAATTACATTATTCTTATCTTTTGCTCACTTTTCTAATTCTTCATCATACCAAAGTTACCTTTATTTCTAATTCTTCATCATACCAAAGTTACTTCTTTATCTCATAAAATTACCAAATGCAAATCTTAGGAATTTTATGGCTAATTATTGAGTAGATATGAATAAAAGAAGTAATCAAGTGATAATTAATAAATAAACAGAGAGAAGTAAAATCAATGCATTGGTTTGCAAATCAATTAAGAGTATACTAAATTTTCATTTAATTATTTTAATGCTAGTTCTTTATTATTGAGATGAAGGACATACCTTTAGAGCCTCCTTTGGATTTTTATTTCTAACATTCAACTTCTCTCTTTTCTTTCTTTGTTTTGTATTCTCTTCACATATATCATCATTTATATTCCTATTCTTCTATTCATATATCAACATATGTAATATTCTTGGGTAGAATGGTTAGAATCTGTTGGGGGACATAAACATTGTGTATGATTCTGATTTCCCTCATAAAGCAAGACTCAATTGAGGCAAACAGAAAAAGCGAATTCATTGCAAAATCTACAACCTTCATATTTCTGACCACAGATATGAGAAAAAGGGGCTAATAATTCACCTAAAATTATTTCAGTGCATTCAAACTAATTCTGTCATATTTTCTTGTGTTACCCAGGAGGCAGTGAAGTTATTCTCAGGCGTACTGAAAGAGAATCTGTGGCTGACTTGTAGTACACCTGGTAGGAAAACCACTTCAGTATCCCCTATGTGTGGTGTAGGATCAGTTGTAACCTCCGATTTCTTTTTTTTTTTTTTTTTTTTAATTATACTTTAAGTTTTAGGGTACATGTGCACATTGTGCAGGTTAGTTACATATGTATACATGTGCCATGCTGGTGCGCTGCACCCACTAACTCGTCATCTAGCATTAGGTATATCTCCCAATGCTATCCCTCCCCCCTCCCCCCTCCCCACCACAGTCCCCAGAGTGTGATATTCCCCTTCCTGTGTCCATGTGATCTCATTGTTCAATTCCCACCTATGAGTGAGAATATGCGGTATTTGGTTTTTTGTTCTTGCGATAGTTTACTGAGAATGATGGTTTCCAATTTCATCCATGTCCCTACAAAGGACATGAACTCATCATTTTTTATGGCTGCATAGTATTCCATGGTGTATATGTGCCACATTTTCTTAATCCAGTCTATCATTGTTGGACATTTGGGTTGGTTCCAAGTCTTTGCTATTGTGAATAATGCCGCAACACATGAAAAAATGCTCATCATCACTGGCCATCAGAGAAATGCAAATCAAAACCACTATGAGATATCATCTCACACCAGTTAGAATGGCAATCATTAAAAAGTCAGGAAACAACAGGTGCTGGAGAGGATGTGGAGAAATAGGAACACTTTTACACTGTTGGTGGGACTGTAAACTAGTTCAACCATTGTGGAAGTCAATGTGGCAATTCCTCAGGGATCTAGAACTAGAAATACCATTTGACCCAGCCATCCCATTACTGGGTATATACCCAAATGACTATAAATCATGCTGCTATAAAGACACATGCACACGTATGTAACCTCCGATTTCTTATAGCATTCCCTGTGCTGTTAAAGTAACAGAAAATCTTTAATTCCAATCTTTTAAAAATATTGTGTTTTTCTCTTTTGAGAAAAGAGCAAATAACATGTAACTCAATGTTACATCCTGATAGTCCCAATGTCCACTTTAAGCTCACTTTTTTTTCAGTTGTTTATGCCTGTAAATTGGCTAGTATGTTCATTGACAGTTTTCTTTTTCAAAAAATAATTGAATTTCTATTCTCTGTGGAAATATTTGGCTTGCAAGCTACTTTCTTTATTTCTTTATAATATTTCAACTAAAATATAACTCCTGGTAATTATAAAAGCAAACAAAACAGAAACAGTGTGTGAAAATATGTTTAGATTCTTTCAAAATCTGTTTTAAAAATCTAAGCAATACCCTTGCTGTTTTTCTTGATACATGTGGCAATGAATATAAAGATAGCTATGTTCAAATTTGATATCTAAGCACTTTCAATACATTTGCAGATCAACTATAGCAACATCTATTAAATATAAAAGGTCCTATAATAAAAATAAAAATGTCTCTTGTTAGTAGGGTCAGTGGGTCAAGAAACAAAATGTAATCCATGGTGACAATTTGAGATTAAAAAATGATTCCATGTGAGATAATTATTTATCTATTGATGATTATTGAGTATAATTATGGCTTATATTTTGCAGATAATTGTCATTTAGTAGTTTCAGAGAATTTAGAGTTTCAGAAAATTTAACATGAAAATTCCATGTTCTCAGTCATAACAGCCTTGACTGCCTAGATGTACAACCTAATTTAATCAGGCTTATTAATGGCATACTGAAACTTTTATGTAGAAATTTGTGTAAAAATATCATTAAACTTTACATTTATTAGTGAATACAGGCATATACAAAACATCATTATGCAGTGATGAGTCTGTTCTTTCAGTTCTTGTGAAACAAAGACAAATTTAAAACACACATATATTGCACTGCATAGTGACCACAGTTAATAATACTGTTGTATATTTTATATTGTTAAAAAATAGATTTTTAGCATTCTCACCACAAAAAAATAAGTTGGTAAGCAAATACGTGAATTTGCTTGATTAAATCATTCTGTGAAGCCTACAGAGATCAAAACATCACACTGTACTCAGCAAGTATACACAATTATAATTTTTGAACTAAAAATAAAGAAAAATACACATACTTGACATCTGCACCTAATTTTCCATATAATATAAAATATTTAAGTAAACTTTCTTAGAGTTTAATTTTAGTATTATAAAATAATTATTCTTGCCTTTCTCAGTATTTATCAAGTTAGTGGAAAACTGTATTTGTTAGACTTTGATATATAGCTATAAGTTGAGACAGCTTGCTTGTGAGATATAGATTTATTTAAAAATATTTTATTCAGGCTCATAGTCTACTGGGTGATGGATTGTGTGCTGATAGGATGAGATTAAGTTGGTATCATTTCAACATGTTATACTTCATCTTACATTTGTTCAAGGTGTCAAACCTACTGGTCCTTGAAAAATATGTGAGACATTTACTGAGAGACATTTATATTGGCAAAACGTATCAATTCAGCCATAAAACATGAGCTTTCTGACCCTCATATCACATATGGAGAGATTAGTAATTTGTGTCAGACTGATTTTCATTACTTTGACTGATACACCAAGCAGAGTATTCACTGCATTTATACTTTTATCTGGTAAGATCCATGTCAATATTCCCAACATTCTAAGTTTAACTAAAATAGCACAAATGATTCTCTGCATGTATAAAATATGTGCTATATGAGCTCTTTGGATTTGAAAAGTTCATCTAGATTCCTCTGTCTTTGGGAAAAATCTCTTAAATCATAACTTAGATGGAAGAATGCTAGTATAGAAAAAGCTGCTTTAGCTGTTTAATTTCAGCTCTTTCAATCTGTGATCTATGGGTTTGAAAGTTTGGAGGGCAAACCAAGGAAAGCATACTTTGCTCCTCACAACTGGTTCAAACTAAGAGAACTAAATCTTAACTTTGGAATAGCACACATATATGATTGAGAGCCAAGTGCAATGGCTTATGCCTGTAATCTCAGGCATGTAATCTCACTTTGGGAGTCCAAGGAGGGAGGATCACTTGAGCCTAGGAGTTTGAGACCAGCCTGAGGAACATGGTGAGACCTTGTCAATACAAAAAACAAAAAATTAATTGGGTGTGGTGGTGCACATTGTGGTCCCAGCTACTCAGGAAGCTGAGGAGGAAGGATCGCTTGAGCTTAGGAGGTTGAGGCTGCAGTAAGCCTTCACTGCAACACTGCATCCTAGCCTGGGTGACAGAGTGAAACTCTGTCTCAAAGAATTAATTAATTAATTAATGAAATTTTTAAAAGATACGATTGGCATCTGAGGTAGGGTGGCTTAAATGCTTAAAACAAGTATAACATTGCTTCCAAATGAAAAAAAAAAGTGAAAGTCTTGGATGAAAAATGAGATGTGAAATATTAACATTTTTGTTAGAGTAAGAGCTACGAGAAAAATCAAATTTCCTTGACTACATATTACAAGCAACTGTATTGTAAATTCTAGAGGCCATCAGGGACTTTTACCTTTTTAAACAATCAGAAATAGATATCTAGAAAAAAAATTATATTCTTGATTTAGATTTATTTTATTCAAACACTATTATTTGGTTTGACACAAGCAAACCAAAACAAAAATGTTTTTACATATTATTTGGCTGTTTATATTATCAATATATTAGATAATACTTATTAACTGAATAATTACATTTTGATTAATCTTTGGGTGTTAAGCAACTCCCTATGTTATAGGTTACAATTATGCATAAGACAGTCAAGACTTGGGTACCTCTAAAGGAGGTGAGAGGCTATAAACATATACAGAAATGCACAAAACATAAAATATAAGAAAAGTGAAATTAAAAGGATTATACAATAGAGAGTAACTGATGAGCAGAAAGTATTTTAGATAGTATTTAGACTTGGGCAGGATTCTAAAAGATGAAAAAGAACCAACCACTAAGTTCTTGAGGAAGTACATTCTTTGAGGCAAAAACTGCAAAAGTGATGGAGTAGAAAGGAGCATGGTAAGTTTGAACAACACTGTAGTTAGAGCATTGTAAGCATGAGAAGATGCATGTGGGATGGAGTTGGAAAGATAGGCAGTGTCCTAACATGCAGGGCCATGGTGACTTTAGCTTGTATTACAAACTCAATGAAAAGCTCTAAAATGCTTTTCCAAAAAGTGGTTAATACAATCTATTTTACATTTTAGAAAACAATTATAAGTTAAAAATTGTTATAACAAACCATTCAGTAAAGTCGATGGTGATTTGGAATAAAAGACCAGACAAAAAATGTGAACATAATTGAGCTTTTGGAGTTAGCACCAATAAGAATTGTTGATGGCTGTATTTTGCAAATGTATGGCACTTTAAATATACTCACTTTACTACATAGGATATACCTTTAAAGCAAATGCCTACTTCTTATCCAAGACTTGAAAAATATTTGAGAGAGAACATCAAGCTGAAGTTGACTTCCCTAACCCTGAGGTTAAGCATTGATTTTGATAAAATTATTTCAGGTTATGGATCATCTCACTCGTTTTGAAACTCAGGCCATTTACCTTTTTCTTTGTTGATTTTGGCTTAAAATGAAGGAATTAAACAGTCCACTATAACTGATTTTTCTGTGAGTAGTTTTGAATGTTCAACAGACTTTATTAAGTTGGATAAATGAAGATGGTTTATGTTAAATTAATATAAACAGTTTAAAATGTAATAACAGCTCCAAATTTATTTTGACCACTAAGCTACCAGAGATCTTTGTATATTAAATCACACAGTGCATATCTTTCTCCATCTTTAAATCTAGTCGAAACGTTTTCTTCCTCTAACTCTCCTTTTCCCCACCCTGTTAAAATATAGTTACCCAGACAACTAATAATTTTTCTAATTTTATTATTCATACAAGTTTACTTACTTCAAATTCCTCCTCTCAATTCATTTCCTGGCACATTTCACATATTCAAAGCCTATGGGAGAATTTAGATGAACAAAATGACCGTATACACCATGCCTTTCGTGAAGAATAGACAGAGACCCTGAAGTGGACTTGATCAAGGTTACATTTAACCCATAAAAATAAATACCAAAATATAAAATCCTTAGAGATTGGAGTCTAAGGCAAAAATTAATTTTGAAAAAATCAATTTTCTTTTTCTTTTTTAATTTAGCATGTAAAATTAAGCAGCAAAATGAAATGTTAAAAAAAACAAATCGTGTGTGTGTGTGTGTGTGTCCTTTATTCCACAGACAAACTTGTGTGGAATATAGGGATTATAAAATGGAGACCACCCGACCATTTCCATTAAAGGATATATTTATTGTGCAAGAAATCAATGGCTTCAGAAGGAACTTGTTTTAGATATTTTACAATTCCAGATCCAAAAGATTGGCCAGGGGCCCTGATTTTCCTCTATGGGTCCATTGTTAAACTCAATTTTCAGAAGGATTAAAAAGAAATAAAGAAAAACCATCTGCCTAACCCCTCATTATAATACATGAAATCTCTGCATTTTACTCCAATATAGATTACCTAGCTTCACACCAGTAATTTGTTAGTACAATATTGAACTTACCATTGCTAACACATTTTGAAAAGTAGTTGAGAAGACTATGGAATTTCTTTACATATTCAAAAATCTCCTGAAATAGATTATAAGAGAAATGGGTACATGAACAAGTAGTGCTTAATTGATCTGCTGTTGGATAGTCTTTACTAAATTGTGTTTTACCAAGTTGTTGTATGTATGGTAGTAACAGATACATTTCACTTTCTTTTTTTCTTACTCTTTGGGTCTATGGATCTGGGAGTGGAGCTAATAAAGTGTGGAAATTATATCATGAAGAATTAATATTTGCAAGAGAAACGTCTGTTTCCTTAGCACGTGCTTCCTCAGTGGGATGTGATATTGCCTACAATAGATGAAAAATTGGTTTTGGGGCATGGGGAGCAAACAAGAGTACTCTTTTATGTATAAAGCAGAGATACATATGCAACACCTAAAGAGATATACAGCATTCTATGCTATTAAAATTTTCTTTAGGGGAGGGACAATTAGGAAAAACTTAGAAAAATATCAAATTCTCTCCTTAAATGGATAACAATGAAAAAAAGTTGAGAAATACCAGTCTAATATATGTTCAACCTGAGAAGTATACTCTTGAGAAGTATAGGGAACCACCACTCTAAGATTTCACTCTTGCATTCACTAACAAGTATGGTTCTAATTATTAGACTCTTTACTCTCTACAGATATTCCAAGGCAAACTTGTAATTTGTGTTCTAACAAGAAGTAGCCTTATGAGTCCCCCAGGCATTTTTACTAGCTGGATTATTTTGAGGAAATTAATTAATTACATTACATAGTGTTCTCATGTTGAAAACGTTTCAATGAAACATTGACCTGGCCTCAATGCTTATAATAATTGTTCTCCTGAGTATCTGTTTTGTTGTCTTATGAAACTTGTGAAATCTGTAACTATTTCTGTCTTCATATTGGCTAACGGAAAACATAATAAAATTTTTTTACCCAGTATGAAGTGTATAAAAGATTGAAAATATGTATATATGTAACCTAATATTGGTTGTTATATCTTGCTTTCCTGCATTTTTTTTGTTTTATTATTTTAACCTAGTTTTAAATGTATTTAATTTTACATGAATTTTCTTATGGCTTATGCTATCTGCAAATACATTTATAACATAAAAGAGAAATGTAGATAACATGAAAGAAAGGAAAGTAGCTTTTACTTTTAAAAAATGTCAGGGTTTCAAATTTACTATGGACCATTCCAGTACTAAAATTCCAAGTGAGTAAACTCATAAGTGAATCAATCCTTTAACTTATGTTATTATTCAAATGTGAACATCACCCTGTATGATTGTTGAGAACACACTCTGAGTGTTGTGTGTATGTGTGATGAATATGTTTGTGGCCCTTTTGTGAGGCATGGAGACCAACTGACATTCAGCAAAAAGAAACCTAAAGGAATGAAGAATTGTGTACTTCCAATGCCTTTTTATTTATAGAACACAAACTAACAAAAAAATAGGAAGCACTCCTCATATAATGCAAACTCAAATGTGTGGAGAACTGTGTTTTCAACTATATTAGGACAAACATACTGAAGCACTGATGCATTATAACTGAGTGTAAACTTGGCCTATGGAGATCAATATCTGTTTGTGAAGATACTTCTGTTTCCTAAATGTTTACAGTTAAAATAAGACAGGTGTGAATAAGCAAGCCCTTAATAAAACCCCACAGAATCCAGCACATGGCTATTCTTGCTCATACAGTAAACTGTCTATCCTTGGACCAACAAATGTCATTTAAATTCCTATTGTCACAAGACCCTAACTCTTTAACTAGATTGCATGAGAAGTGGAAGGCTCCAGGTGACATACAAAAAGGGGCAGAAGTTATGTGGATCTTGAAGTATTAAAGGAAAACTAAAGCCTTTCCAGTGTCCCCATTACTACATTAGAATTAAACTTAGCAAAGATACAAGTGATGTTGTAAGGACTAAGTTTATTATTTTTTTCACCCCCAATCAAATTGATATTTGGCTGTATGTTTTTATGAATTGTAAACCCAGTTGATTTTGTCTAGGCTTTTATTTAGTTTATTTGATTGGCTGTTTTCTTATTTTAAAAGTCTAGAACCTTTAGGCAGGGCACGGTTGCTCACGCCTGTAATCCAGCACTTTGGGAGGCTGAGGCAGGTGGATTACGATGTCAGGAGTTCGAGACCAGCCTGACCAACATGGTGAAACCCCGTCTCTACTAAAAATATAAAAATTAGCCGGGCATAGTGGCGTGCACCTGTAATCTCAGCTACTCAGGAGGCTGAGGCAGGAGAATCACTTGAACCTGGGAGGTGCAGCTTGCAGTGAGCCGAGATCGTGCCACTGCACTCCAGCCTGGGTGACAGAGCGAGACTCCGTCTCAAAAAAAAAAAAAAAAAAAAAAAAAAAAAAAAAAAGTCTAGAACGTTTAAACTTCCCTTATTTAATAACAGGAAATTTTCAAGGGAAATGAAAGATTTCCAGGAGCCAAGGTTGCGAGGTTATATAGATAGTTTTAGATTACTGAATATTTAATTAACCAACAATAGTGTTCTATGTAGCACTGAGTGATGTCCTCCAACTTAAGACACAGGTTCCTTGCAATTCAGAAAGGATTGAAAGAAACATGTTTAGTAGTTTCAATTCATATTCGGTGACTAATCACAGAAGTCCTCTATTAAAGTAGAAAATAGTAGCTGTGCTTATGGGAAGAATACACCAAAGTTCAGTTCAAATTGCACAATATGTATGATACATGTGAGATTTTTTTCTAATCCAAATTTTGAATATCAGAGTAATATTTTAACAGCAGTTCCTAAATCCTAATTGGTAATCATGTTGCTATTACCTTCAGAATAGATTTTTGATGTCTGTTGCCATTTTAAATAAGATAGCTTAGTGATGTGATTCTCCCCTGAGCTGGCAGAAAAAGGAGGACAACTTTGCATTTCTATTTCTAATTTAGTAACTGGTAGTAACTTTTACCTCAATTTTTGTAGAAAAATGTCATGTCTCCTTAAGCCTTAAAAATATCATTCTAAAAATTCTCTAATACTTTAATGTTTGAAGAAAATCTAAAGTTTTATTCATGGAATGGAGCTTTTATGTCATGCAAAGATATAAAATGTTTTCATAGTACCTGTTCTCCCTATTTTATAACTGAAATAAACTCTGCTTTGCTGTAAAGCCACCTAAAATGTTAACTGGATAATAACTCTACTTCTAAATATCACAACCATGAAAAAGTAGTGATTTTGTCTTTATGGTTTAAAAAAATAAGGACTTAAAATATCAGATATCTAAGAATGCTTTATTTGAAGAAAAAAATTAGACATTACTATTTGAGGAACTTGTAAGTAGTAATGTATGAGGAATACAGACACATAAAACTGAGGAAGTTTGCTGCTGTGTTTCTACATATTTTCATATATATACATATATATATTTAGACAACTAGAATCTGAATTATATAAAGTTATAGTAAAATATTCTCAACCTGATTTCATTTTAGTTTCAGCAGATTTGGAACAGCATATCACAGAAGTATGAAGTTTCCAGATAGTCTGAGATCTAATCCTTTATCCATTGCTAAGCCTCGCCTTTGTTTTCAATATGAAGTAAGATAACAGTGTCTCCAACAGTGTCTGCTCAATAACTACCAGTTTTCTTTCTCTTTCTATATTAGTAATTTACTCAAGAAGCAGCTGTTGGACTTCTGGTCTATAATTGGCACCCCAATAAAACCATGCATAGAATTTTCCTTTAGTCTTGAAAGAAAAAGAGAAACGGAGTCCTTACAATATGATTTAGTTATTTTAGTTACTCATTTTTTATTGAAAATTATATGTAGATAAGAGAAATATGTAATATTATGTGTACATATTCTAAATTCACAACAAAATCATTTTGTTTATGATATACCTCACCTGATAGTAATGTCAGAGCCAAAGGAAGCTCCTCACATTGATATAATTTGGGGGGTCAGAATCAGATTCTAATTTAAGGGTTCCATTCTATTGATTCATGGGCAGTGACCAAAAAATGAGTAGGTGAGGAACAATGATACAGGAAAGTAAAGGCAGCAGTAACAGGTGGGCTATTAAGCCAACTATGTAGTGGAATCTGGAGAATAATCCAAGGAGAAACTCTGCAAATGCAAAACACAAGCCTCTGTAATAACAAACAGAGTATTAGGAAGCTGGTGTATTTACACCCATTCACTGGGTGGTCAGTGGTTACATCTTTCCAATATGGTAAAAATTAACTTCCAAATATATCCAGCATCTTGAGGACAGATCAAGGAAAATCAGATCGATTCTGGATCTTTCAGGTCAGCCTAACATACATAAAAGTATTTAGAACTCTTAATACAACAATGACTGCAACTCTGTAAATGTTATTTTATTAAAAACCTATTTATTTAAATATATAAATGTAGGTAATTCCTACTCACAATAAATTTAATTTAATGTATTACACATTTTTAAAAAACTTATCTAGATGAAAAGTTTTATTACTCAACTATGAGTATATATACATTTTATTTAAATAACAGAATAAAAATTATTTTTCTTACTACAGAACAAATGCATGCTTATTTCATAAGATTAGAAACTATGGATAAGAAAGGTAGGTAAATTAAAATTTCTGAATGTAATAAATACTATGAAGACATAGGTACTGTTAACTTTTTGAAAACGTTAATTTTTTCCTGATGCATAACCTTATTGCTAATGATGTTAGGATAGATAGTAATATCTAGGATAGAATTAGGATAGATAGATGATACCTACCCTGTACTAATAATGAATATTTATTTTTATAAAATATTTGACAGAGTGTAAGAGAAAAACACTTCCACATTGAGAGAATATATTAGTCATGAACTAATTAGCATGGGTGTGCATGGATTTTAGAGTATCAAATGATAAGCCTTGTTTATGTGTGTGGGTGTGTGCATCCACAAGTGTATGCCTAAGTAATGTCAACTCAAGTATGCCTGCTTTTTTAATTGTTAGGGTTCTCTTAGAGTACACAAATGTAGGACCATACTAAATTAATGCATACACTTACGCTGAAGAGTGGCCTCTCCGCACAACATATAAAGGAGAATGATGATGCTTCACCCTAATTATCTTTATGGTCAGGCTAACATATAATACACAACTCTAGAACATTATTTGGGTAAACATATATATTTCTAAAATTAGGTCAAATTTTATCAAATCTGGCCCTACCAGAAACTTAGATGAGAATATCATATTTTATGAGTTTCTTAACATAACTTTGATTCTATGTGAAGTGCTTTATGTAAATTATGAGTTGTTTTCCTATATAGCTTAATTCAGATCTCTCACTCCAATTTCAGCTGTAATTTATTATACAAAATTTATGTAATTAACTTGCTTGTTTATTCAGAAAAGTACTTAGACACTCAGTATAAGCATTATGGTAGTGGCTAGAGGTAGTCTATCAATTAATTTTTAGTGCTTTCAAAACCCCGAAAACTTAGTTCTTTAGCAAGAAAATATTCATTATTTCTTTCAGTTCTGAGGTAGAGTCATTATTTTGTTATGGGTCAGTCTATCTAATATCTGTGTTATGCTGGTAGCTCAGCTAAAACTGATTATTCTAGGATGGCCACACTATGTATCTGGCATTTGGCAGGTTATTTGATTTAGATCTTTTCTAGGACTGGGCTATTTGTTCTAGGCTAGAACACTTTGTTTTTGTCCCATGAAGTTCTCTTTCCCACTTATGGACTAACCCCATGCTCCTCCAGTTGGTAACACCAAGGATCCAAAAAGCAGCAAGAGAGAAAGTCTTAATGCACAAAGACTTTTCTCAAACAGCTAATTTTTTCTTGGACAAAACAAATCATAAAGCCAGCCCAACATCAGTTTGAGAAGCTATAACCAAAGAGCCTGAATAGGGAGAAGGGAATACAATACTAATAATATAAAATAATATGCTGTATAATTTAATATAACATTTATTCTGAAGAAGCTCACAGTTTGGGGAAGGAAAAAGAGACATAAACATATTTTTAAAAGGTCAGTGAAAATATAATTATTGAAACTTACCAAGATGACCTTAATATTGCTTTTCACTGGCCTAAACTTTAGATGGATTTATTTCTGACTATGGACTCCTGACCTTGCTTTTCTGAAAGCATTACTTTAGAAAACTTGCAATTATAAATTCTTTCTCTCCTCCTTTGAGATGTAAATATTCTTTCACTTCTTGCCAGTTTTACCATCCAGGAGTGTCTTTCTCAAGGACCTTTAAGTCATCCCTTTGGAATGCAATCATTCAGAAAGATAGAGCTCTGTCTTAGCCCACTTTCTGCTGCTACAACAGAATACCTAAGAATGGGTAATTTACCGAAAAAAAAAAAAAAAAAAAAAAAAATATATATATATATATATATATATATATATATATATATATATATTTCTTACAGTTCTGGAGGCTGGAAAGTTCATTATCAAGATGCCAGCCTCTGATAAAGGATTTCTTGCTATATCATCCTGTGGCAGAAGGTGAGAGAGTGAGAGAGAAAGGGAGAGAAAGAAAAGTAGGCTGTGATAATTACATTAATCAATTCATGAAGGCAGAGCCCTCAAGACCTAATCACCTCTCATTAGGCCTCACCTGAAAACACCATTGCAGTGGGGATTAAGTTTTCAACACATGCTTTTTGGGGAGCACATCAAACCATGGCAAGCCCCTATCTTTCAGTTTATATGTCAAGGTGAAAGCCTAACTTCCATAGGCACCAGTTATTAATACCCAACACGGCCTAATTATATTAGCCAATATTTCCCTTAACTTCTTCTATTTTTTCACTGTTCTCCACAATGCTAAAAAAATTCTCTTAACTTTTGTTTTAGTAGAGTCTTTCTCACCAATTGAAGTAGTCTTGAACAAAGTATTCCTTGACTGTTTAACATGTTCAATGCAATTTTTCTTTGACAGAAGAAAGAGGGAGATTTAACCTGTCTTTGACAGAGGAGTAGAGTAGGAACCAGAACAGGTCTTATGTTGGTTATTATCTGAGTTAACTGTCCTCACTATGGACTACTTTGGAAACAAAATATGATTTTTTCTTCAAGGGACTCAGATAATTTCTGGTTTCACTATATTTTTATTCTGAAAGAAATAAAAGTGATCTGGAGTTTAAAGAAAATATTTCTTAATTCTATCTCAACATGTTTACTCAAACCTCGTGAATTATTTTTTTATTTTCAAGAGTTATTTTGACACAAGCACTGGTATATCTTCAAAAGAGTACATTTATTAATTTTACCCAGCTTTTATTATAAAATTAGAAATTTATATTCTGGCATTTTCATTATGCTACTGTAACTTTTGATAATAAGTAAATTCAGAATACATCTTTAATAATTCTAGAATAGTTGACTTCAGAGAGTGGGACATTTCTTTAAAGAAATAATCTATCATTTAATATGAAGTTGAGTCTTATTTCCTGATAGACGTTACTTTTGACGTTAAGAAAATCCTCAATACTCAAGCTGTTACATGTGATTTTTAAAAATATTAATAAACTTAAAAAGAGATGTATATTTTTATTTTATCCACCACCCTTTAAACATATTGATTTCTGCTTAATATATTTATGTCATTTCTTAGTTTTGCCAAATTCCTGTATTCTGAAATTAAATTTTAATTTTCTATGATCTATTATAATACAATTTTGGAGGAGTTTATTTTCTGTTGTTATAATGAATAGATTTTATGTTCATGAGTGTACATAATTGATTCATAAGTTTTTATGCTAATTTTCATCTTTGAATTTTAGTGTTAGATCAACATTGTAAAATACAATGAGAAATTTTCCATCACTCTAATTTTCAGTAAGTAACAGTTCTTTTCAAATTTCAGTGTATCAGAAATTCATCTAAATGTGAGCACGTTTATCTTAGTTATATTCCTAATTTCTCCCATAATTATTGTCCCATTATATTTGTCTTCTTTATAGTCATTAAATCAATTCTATTAACCTATATTTTTTGAAAAAATCATACATTGATAGAATAAATTCTTATTGTATCACTCAGTCTTTGCACACATCCTACCAATATCACACATATTATGAAGAGTAAATAATCCATTATCTTTCATACCTACACATTATAGAGAAGTTATAAATCACTATTAGCTAAAATTCATGTGTAATGAAGCATTCAAAACAGGCAGAGGCATCCACAGGGCATGCTGGTTGAGAGAGTTGGGTGTAGATTTTTATGGAAAAGAGGAGAGGAGCATGGGACCAACAATGGTAGAACATACATAAAAATTACCTCAAAATTTCCCTAAGTGGAAAAATGTGGAAAATAATCTAAGATCTGGTATTTTTAAGACACTGGCTACTATGGACATCAAAAGCAATTTTAAGAAGGCACTACTTCTAGGAATGGGGGAGATGACTGGGAAGGGATGACATCCTCTGGAGGTTTTGGTTTGTTGATGAAAAAAAGACAAGGAACAGAAAAGTGAAAATTAAGAATCTTAGAAATAAGAAAATTAGAAAATCAGAAAAGGCAAATTCCTCCCTTCCCTAAATACCACCAATTTATTACTTAAAATGCATTTCACTTTATATGATCACTATATATGATCATTTTCCTGAAGAAGAAAATTATATGACATTTCAAAATGGAAAATTGTGGGGAATATCTATAAAGAGATAGTAACTGAACAAAAGATCAAAATACTATGGCGGATAAAAATATTCAATAACAAAGCAATCCTAAAGAAGAAAAATAGTGTAACATATTATTTCACTTGCAGAATAAAAGAAAAAACAATCAAGATTTAAAATCCAGAACAGAAATAAGAAAAACGTAAGAAGATGTGAAAACAAAAGTTGACCAAATTCGGGAAAGAAATTAAAGCAGGTAGGGGGCAGAAATTCATCCCAGAATTGAGACTAAATCTAAAATACATAAGAAATAATAGTTTTCACTAAAGACATAATAAAATACATTGAGGAAAGAAAAGAAAATAATCCAAAAATTGTTTAAATAGTGGAATTAAGAAGTAGAAAGGATTAGAGAAGTGATGTATTTAGATAATAAACAAACCAACTTCAACATACATACAGTTAACATCTCTGGGGGAAAAATAGGACAGAAATGATATTCAAAGTATAACATGAGCAAAATTTCCAGAAAAAAAGAGACACTTGAATCTACCAATAAAACAGGCTCATCATGTAACTGAAAATCCTGATCCTAATGACACACTATAGATACATACCAATGACATTACTTGAATCCAGGGAAAAAGATTGAGAAAATTGAAATGGAAAGACAGCTAGGTTGTTCAGAATATTCAACAACAGTATACAAAGGAGATATCAGTGAATAATATTTTCAAAAATCTCAAGAAAATAAATTATAATCCATGAGTTTTATATGGAGCCAAGCTATTCTTCAAGTAGCAAAGCTATTGTACTAGGATTGTAAACACATGAGATTTCAGGAAAAATCATACACACAGGGTCTTCCAGAGCATCCTACTATAAAAAGAGCTTCACCCAAATAAGATATGACTGGGGATATCTTTGCACAAGTTCTGATAATGAACATCGAATATGTTTAATCATACATCCAAGAAAAAGAAAAGTAAAAATGAGTGAAAGAATAATATGTCAATGTCCTATATTCTGACCAAGTAGACATAACATAATTAAATAATTTGGAGAAGGGAGAAAGACAAGTAGAAGAAGCTCATTGATAACTTCTAAGGAAAAAATGGAAAAAATAATAAAATGTTAGCATTTAATGCTAACAAAAGAAACTAAATGATAAAATAGGTCACTACAAAAAATATAAAAGTCATAATTATAAAGAAAATCACTAAAAAATTCAATGGAAAATAATGAAAAATAGCAATAGAAAAAAATTTTGAAAAGTTTACAAACCACATAGACAAGCCAATCATTATAAGCATCCACAGTAAATATGACAATGTCAACTACAAGCATATCTTCACAGGTACCAAACAAGACCAGAAATCATCCTTCTTCTTACCCTGAGACTGATGCATAATTGACTTTTCCTCTACTTCTTCTTTTCACAGGTTTACCTTAACTAATGTAAAAGGTAGATTTACTGAGGGCTTATCAGAGCCTCACTGGAATGTAACCTTTTGCCTACCTGCCCACCTTCCGTCCCATTTTCCCTTCTGCTTGCTTTTTCTTTTTATTTGTTTTCATTTTTTAATTTAAAAAATTTACCCAGTTAAAAAACAGCTTTTTTTCCTTTAAATTCTGAGTTCCCAAAACACTCTTTAGAAAGCACAAGTCACAGAAGTTCCTGTGACTTGTGATTCTCCCGAGCGCTACATCGAACTTTGGCTCAATTAAACTCCATTGATTGAGACTCTTGCCTCAGTCACTTTTCCTTTAACATATGTATCAAATTTTAAAGCCTCAATAATGAGCAATGTATCAAGTTTTTATAGGACATTTAAGAAAATTGGCCACACACACACACACACACACACGTATGTTTCATAAACTAGAAATCTCATGACAAATTTATCTGGTAATGAAGGAACAATACCATAAATGTTCAATGAAAGCAAAGGCACATGAAAGCTGTTCTAGCTAGACTTGAAAAGCCTTTTATTAAGAGGGGTCTTTGGTGAAAGGAAATATAAAGACACATAATCATTCACTACATTGACTTTTCAAGTCCCTCAAGGAGTATTGTGTTATACAGTATTCTCTTAACATTCTTATTTTCTTACATAGAAGTTTAATAAATTTTTTTCTAGTTCAAATTTGAGAAATGGATGTGTTCTCTGTGATCCTATTGAAAATATGAATAATGAATTAATCTTTTTTTTACAGATTGAGGTTGTCAGATTTATCAATGCCAGTATCTAAATTTTCACATTAATTTATTACTTGGATTTAATATTTTTTTCTTCCAGCTTTACAGGAAAGTATAAAAATTTCAATTACATAATATTCTGGAATGCTTTAGTCAAAGAAAATGTATGCAATGTATTTTTCTATTATTGAACAACGATATGCAATTTACAAGAGGACTATCTCAAACACAATACTGCAAGGGGCCAAATAAAAGAATAGATTATGCTGCTCAAATAACAAATATAAAAACTGATCTATTAATATGAGTAGATAGGTGTAATAAAAACAAATTATTAGAAATAAAAAGGTTAGTTTGTAATATAAACAGAAGCATATATAAATTAAAATTTAATAGATATACAAGACAAAATAAAGCCAAAATTGGATTCATCTTAGCTTTTGCTGCCTTTTCTTTTTTCTTAAAAAAAAATTTCATTTTTGGTTTTCTGTCATAAAATGTATCTTTTGGTTTTTATAGGAAATTATCCTTAGGAGTATGTTGTTTATTTTGAGGATATATTTATCAGTGTGTGTGCATTATATAGACACAGGCTATGGCATTGCTTTCTGTTTTTATCTTTAGTGAAAGTAAATCTATTTTGATCTGGGAAAAAAGTGAATTTTTTAATGTCGATTTCCAATGTTTCATTCACCAGTTTTTGAAAATCATACTTTTTCTCCAAGTAACTAAAATTTACCTGGATCTAAGATCTCCTACTATATTGTTGTTTTGGATGGCATACCATACAAAGGAAAATTATTTGACATTAAAAGGAATGAAGTATGAATGTGTGCTATAACTTGGACAAACCTTGAAAACATGATATTGAATGAAAGAAGGCAGTCACAAAAGGCCACATATTACAGGAGTCTATTTATAAGGATTTTACAGAATAAGCGGAAGGTAGATTACTGATTGCTATGGAATGAGGCAGGGAGAAACGGGGTGACTGCTAATGGTTACAGAGTTTCTTTTGGCATGACGAAAATTTTCTGAAATTATATAGTGGTGATGGTTACATAACCTTGTAAATATACTGAAAACTAGTTAATTATACACATAAAAAGTGAATTTTATGTTAATCATATCAATTATATTTCAATTTCTTCACAATGCATATTTGGCTGAGTCTCCTTGTGCAAGAATGTTGCAACACTACCTCGAATACATACAATAGATATTTCTTGAATTATTTTAAGAAAATAACTTAAACCCATTTAAAACAAAAAAAAACTATACATTGGGGAAAGTCCAGTAGCCAGGCATATCAAGAGGTATTACATACAGTATCTGTGCTGCCTCAATTTTCCATATGACCCCTTTGTTAGAGGTAAGTTTAGGGAAGTTAAATCCTGGCCCAAGTTTATTGCACAGTGAGTTCATTAAGTCTGTGCCCTCCCCTTGGTTATAATTGCCTTTAGCCTCTACTGCAATGAAGTATGTACCAGGTGGCAAAGATCACACACAAGGATATGTGACCTACAGATAATTTGCCTTATGTAAAAGAGGCCAAGAGGAAACCACTAAAATTACCTCTCTGTATCCAAGATTATAAATAAGAAATTATATACATCCCTGCCAGAATCACATAGGTCATCACTTTTTTTTTTTTTTACTTTAAGTTCTAGGGTACATGTGCACAACGTGCAGGTTTGTTACATATTTATACATGTGCCATGTTGGTTTACTGCACCCATTAACTCATCATTTATATTAGGTATTTCTCCTAATGCTATCCCTCCCCCATCCCCCCACCGCATGACACACCCCGGTGTGTGATGTTCCCTGCCCTGTGTCCAAGTGTTCTCATTGTTCAAATCCCACCTATGAGTGAGAACATTCAATGTTTGGTTTTCTGTCCTTGCAATAGTATGCTGAGAATGATGGTTTCCAGCTTCATCCATGTCACTACAATGGACATGAACACATCCTTTTTTATGGCTGCATAGTATTCCATGTTGTGTATGTGTCACACGTTCTTAATCCAATCTATCATTGATGGACATTCAGGTTGGGTCCAAGTCTTTGCTATTGTGAACATTGCCACAATAAACATATGTGTGCATGTGTCTTCATAGTAGCATGATTTATAATCCTTTGGGTATATACCCAATAATACGATCGTTGGGTCAAATGGTATTTCCAGTTCTAGATCCTTGAGGAATCGCCACACTGTCTTCCATAATGGTTGAACTAGTTTACACTGCCACAAACAGTGTAAAAGCGTTTCTATTTCTCCACATCCTCTCCAGCACCTGTTGTTTCCTGACTTTTTAATGATCACCATTCTAACTGGTGTGAGATGGTATCTCATTGTGGTTTTGATTTGCATTTCTCTGATGACCAGTGATGATGAGCATTTTTTCATGTGTCTGTTGGCTGCATAAATGACTTCTTTTGAAAGGTATCTGTTCATATCCTTTGCCCACTTTTTAATGGGGTTGTTTGATTTTTTCTTGTAAATTTGTTTAAGTTCTTTGTAGACCCTGGATATTAGCCCTTTGTCAGATGGGTAGATTGCAAAAATTTTCTCCCATTCTGTAGGTTGCCTATTCACTCTGAAGGTGGTTTATTTTGCTGTGCAGAAGCTCTTTAGTTTAATTAGATCCCATTTGTCTATTTTCGCTTTTGTTGCCATTGCTTTTGGTGTTTTAGTCATGAAGTCCTTACTCATGCCTATGTCCTAAATGGTATTGCCTAGGTTTTCTTCTAGGGTTTTTATGGTTTTAGATCTAACATTTAGGTCTTTAATCGATCTTGAATTAATTTTTGTATAAGGTGTAAGGAAGGGATCCAGTTCCAGCTTTGTACATGTGGCTAGCCAGTTTTCCCAGCTCCATTTATTAAATAGGGAATCCTTTCCCTGTTTCTTGTTTTTGTCAGGTTTGTCAGAGATCAGATGATTGTAGATGTGTGGTGTTATTTCTGAGGCCTCTGTTCTGTTCCATGGGTTTATGTTTCTTGTTTTGGTACCAGTACCATGCTGTTTTGGTTATTGTAGCCTTGTAGTATAGTTTGAAGTCAGGTAATGTGATGCCTCCAGCTTTGTTCTTTTGGCTTAGGATTATCTTGGCAATGCTGGTTCTTTTTTGGTTTCATATGAACCTTAAAATAGTTTTTTCCAATTCTGTGAAGAAAGTCATTGGTGGCTTGATGGGGATGGCAATGAATCTATAAATTACCTTGGGCAGTATGGCCATTTTCACAATATTGATTCTTCCTGTCCATGAGCATGGAATGTTCTTCCATTTGTTTGTATCCTCTTTCATTTCATTGAGCAGTGATTTGTAGTTCTCCTTGAAGAGGTCCTTCACATCCCTTGTAAGTTGTATTCCTAGGTATTTTATTCTCTTTGTAGCAACTGTGAATGTGCGTTCACTCGTGATTTTGTTCTCTGTTGGTCTGCTATTGGTGTATAAGAATGCTCGTTATTTTTGCACATTGATTTTGTATCCTGAGACTTTGCTGAAGTTGCTTATCAGCTTAAAGAGATTTTGGGCTGAGATGATGGGGTTTTCTAAATATACAATCATGTCATCTGCAAACAGGGACAATTTGACTTCCTCTTTTCCTAATTAAACACCCTTTATTTCTTTCTTTTGCCTGATTGCCCTGGCTAGAACTTCCAACACTATGTTGAATAGGAGTGGTGAGAGGACATCCCTGTCTTGTGCCAGTTTTCAAAAGGAATGCTTCTAGTATTTTCCATTCAGTATGATACTGGCTGTGGGTTTGTCTTAAATAGCTCTTATTATTTTGAGATACGTTCCATCAATACCTAGTTTATTGAGAGTTTTTAGCATGAAGGGCTGTTGAATTTTGTCAAAGGCCTTTTCTGCATCTATTGAGATAATCATGTGGTTTTTGTCTTTGGTTCTATTTATGTGATAGATTACGCTTATTGATTTGCATATGTTGAACCAGCCTTGCATCCCAGGGATGAATCCAACTTGATCTTGGTGGATAAGCTTTTTGATGTGCTGCTGGATTCTGTTTGCCAGTATTTTATTGAGGATTTTTGCATCAATGTTCATCAGGGATTTTGGTCTAAAATTTTCTTTTTTTGTTGTGTCTCTGCCAGGCTTTGGTATCAGGATGATGCTGGCCTCATAAAATGAGTTAGGGAGGATTCCCTCTTTTTCTATTGATTGGAATAGTTTCAGAAAGAATGGTACCAGCTCCTCTTTGTACCTCTGGTAGATAAAACCACGAAGATGGGAGAAAACACAGCAGAAAAGCTGAAAATTCTAAAAACCAGAGCGCCCCTTCTCCTCCAAAGGATCGCAGCTCCTCACCAGCAATGGAACAAATCTGGATGGAGAATTACTTTGACGAGTTGACAGAAGTAGTCTTCAGAAAGTCGGTAATAACAAACTTCTCTGAGCTAAAGGAGGATGTTTGAACCCATCGCAAGGAAGCTAAAAACTTTGAAAAAAGATTTGACAAATGGCTAACTTGAGTAAACAGTGTAGAGAAGACCTTAAATGACCTGATGGAGCTGAAAACCATGGCACGAGAACTACGTGAATCATGCACAACAAGCTTCAGTAGCCAATTCAATCAAGTGGAAGAAAGGGTATCAGTGACTGAAGATCAAATGAATGAAATGAAGCGAGAAGACAAGTTTAGAGAAAAAAGAGTAAAAAGAAATCAAGAAAGCCTCGAAGAAATATGGGACTATGTGAAAAGACCAAATCTACGTTGGATTGGTGTACCTGAAACTGACAGGGAGAATGCAACCAAGCTGGAAAACACTCTTCAGGATATTATCCAGGAGAACTTCCCCAACCTAGCAAGGCAGGCCAACATTCAGATTCAGGAAAAACAGAGCTAACAGCACAATGATACTCCTCTAGAAGAGCAACCCCAAGACACATAATTGTCAGATTTGCCACAGTTGAAATGAAGGAAAAAATGTTAAGGGCAGCCAGAGAGAAAGGTTGGGTTACCCAGAAAGGGAAGCCCATCAGACTAACAGTGGATCTCTCCGCAGAAACTCTACAAGCCAGAAGAGAGTGGGGGCCAATATTCAACATTCTTAAAGAAAAGAATTTTCAATCCAGAATTTCATATCCAGCCAAACTAAGCTTCATACACGAAGGAGAAATAAAATCCTTTACAGAGAAACAAATGCTAAGAGATTTTGTCACCACCAGGCCTGCCTTACAAGAACTCCTGAAGGAGGCACTAAACATGAAAAGGAACAACCCATATTAGCCACTGCAAAACCATGCCAAATTGTAAAGACCATCGATGCTAGGAAGAAACCGCATCAACTAACAGGCAAAATAACCAGCTAACATCATAATGACAGGATCAAATTCACACATAACAATATTAACCTTAAATGTAAATGGCCTAATGCCCCAATTAAAAGACACAGACTGGCAAATTGGATAAAGAGTTAAGACCCATCAGTGTGCTGTATTCAGGAGACCCATCTCATGTATAGAGACACACATAGGCTCAAAATAAAGGGGTGCAGGAAGATCTACTAAGCAAATGGAAACCAAAAAAAAGCAGGGTTTGCAATCCTAGTCTCTGATAAAACAGGCTTTAAACCAACAAAGATCAAAAGAGACATAGAAGGCCATTACATAGCAGTAAAGGGATCAATTCAACAAGAAGAGCTAACTATCCTAAATATATATGCACCTAATACAGGAGCACCTAGATTCATAAAGCAAGTCCTTAGAGACCTACAAAGAGACTTAGACTCCCACACAATAACAATGGGAGACTTTAACACCCCACTGTCAATATTGGACAGATCAATGAGACAAAAGATTAAAAAGGCTATCCAGGACTTGAACTGAGCTCTGCACCAACCAGTCCTAACAGACATCTTCAGAACTCTCCACTCCAAATCAACAGAATATACATTCTTCTCAGCACCACGTCGCACTTATTCCAAAATTGACCACATAGTTGGAAGTAAAGCACTCCTCATCAAATGTAAAAGAACAGAAATCACAACAAACTATCTCAGAGCACAGTGCAATCAAATTAGAACTCAGGATTAAGAAACTCTCTCAAAACCGCACAACTACATGGAAACTGAACAACCTGCTCCTGAATGACTACTGGGTAAATAACGAAATGAAGGCAGAAATAAAGACGTTCTTTGAAACCAATAAGAACAAAGACACAACATTCCAGAATCTCTGGGACACATTTAAAGCAGTGTGTAGAGGGAAATTTATAGCACTAAATGCCCACAAGAGAAAGCAGGAAAGACCTAAAATAGACACCCTAACATCACAATTAAAAGAACTAGAGAAGCAAGAGCAAACAAATTCAAAAGCTAGCACAAGGCAAGAAATAATGAAGATGAGAGCAGAACTGAAGGAGATAGAGACACAAAAAACCCTTCAAAAAATCAATGAATCCAGGAGGTAGTTTTTTGAAAAGATCAACAAAATTGATAGACCTCTAGCAAGACTAATAAAGAAGAAAAGAGAGAAGAGTCAAATATATGCAATAAAAAAATGATAAAGGGGATATCACCACCGATCCCACAGAAATACAAACTACCATCAGAGAATACTATAAACACCTCTATGCAAATCTAGAAGAAATGGATAAATTCCTGGATACATACACCATCCCAAGATTAAACCAGGAAGAAGTTGAATCCCTGAATAGACCAATAACAGGTTCTGAAATTGAGGCAATAATTACTAGCCTACCAACCAAAAAAAGTCCAGGACCAGATGGATTCACAGCTGAATTCTACCAGAGGTAGGTAATCATTTTCTTCAAAGACAAAGGACACAGGAGGCATCGTCTCATCCTTTTCACAGTTAATTGGCATGTGTAGTCCTTGCACAAATCCAATTATTGTGGGTTAGATGTACTTCCTTAAACTTGTGCCCCTTTAGTTAAGCAAATTAACAAATCCTCCAGCACTTGATATGCTGTTGCTGAAATGAAAAACGTGTTATTTCCAATTTCCATCATTAAAGAGGATCAAAAACCCATTCACTTTTAGGCGCAAAGTACTACAGTACAAATTCACCATCTTTGCTTTATGGCTATGGTGACTCTCCTATTCTCAGAAATGACATAGTCCCAGGAGCCTTAATTAAGTTATTATTCCTTAGACTTCCACACTGGTCTTATATTATTAATATCATGCTAACTAATCCTGAAGAATAGGAAGTAGATTAGTATTCTGAATGCCCTTGGAACTATGTGCCTTCTGTGGCGTTGAAGATAAGACTTCAATGACAAACCACTGAGGATAGCCCTAATAATCAGCAACCCTGCTCTCTGGTTACTTTGAGCAATTTGATAACCAGTAAACACCATAACGAATAGAGTCTTTGATCCCAATTATTTTCAAGAGAAGTTTTCTGCAACAGAATGGAGTAAAAGAGTAGTATACATACGTGTTAAACTCAGAGGACTCATCTTTTGCTTCATGGCCTGTAATAACCTTGTTTAGGTATTTTCAGCAACCATACCTGGCAGCAAGGACAATGAAACCAATAGCCCAGATCTTTCAGATATGGCAGTCTGGGTCACTCCACAAGGTTAGCATTCTAGATCAGCTGAAGTATTCACTGAAAGTAAAGGAAAGCTAGTAAGGTTAGTAAAAGAGGGAGATGATAAGACAGCTTCTATAGAAGACTAATTTGTTACAACAGCCTTCTTAAATAAGTATTTTATTGAGATTGTACCTGACCACTATTTTGAAATATTCTAAAGAGGAGATTTAATTTGGGGCACCAGAATATGTGAGTAATTAATGGGATGGATTTTGATTGACGTTTTCTGCTGCCCAATATCACATCCTTTTGACCACCAAATTAACTTTGACCTTTAATGCATTGAAAAGTTCCATGTTAACATGACCTGAAGTTGGTGGTATCTCACCTCCATTGTTCTGTACATATTTCAGATTTCTGCCACAGGACTGTCTCAGAAGCAGTGGGAGTCCACTAAGCGTGAAGGCATAAGAAGTCTGTCACATGTGGGAAAGTAGATTCTCCCTGGGGCAATCTTCAAAAAATGTGGATGAAAGCTGATGGATAAATGATCCATTCTATCTTTTCAACAGACAACTACAGGAACCATTCGTTATGTTTCCCTGAGTTCCTAATGGAGTAGAACTTGTACTTGCCACTGGAGTAAGGTCAATAGAGTTTTCTCATTTTGGCCTTTTTGCCTTTATCTCACTCCTTGCTCCTGGTCCCTGGCAGTTCCTTCCAAACATACTGCGTGCATCTAAGCATTTGTCTTAAGCTTTTCCTAAGCTTGGTTAACCCCAAAACTAAGACAGCTGGTATTAACGTATAATTATTAGTTACATTATACATTTATATATCGTACATTTCCCTGGAAGTGAGTTTCATTTCATAATTTTAAAAAGATTTTTTATTACTGTGTAATAGGAATTCATTGGAATGACTTAATAAATGTCATGGAATGATTGATTTGTATTTTAAAACATACAGCTTGGCTGCTGTGTGAAGAATAAATTAAATGAGGAAAGAGTGGAATGCTGGAGACCAGTGAGTGTTCCTGAAGTTGTGAAGATGAGAAGTGAAGTTGATGCCCGTAAATATAGTGACTGTGGAGACAAAGAGGAATCAGTGGATTTCTGATATAATTTGTAGTTAAATTTTTATGATGTAGTGGTGGGTTTAATGTCACTATAAGCAAAATAGGTGGCTTTTTGAAATAAACCTAACACCCATCTTTCATTCAAAACCATTCTTTAAAATTACTCTAAAATATTCATTATGGGTTAAAAATGCTGTTACTTAATAATGGTTAAGAAGAAAAGAAAAACATTCAAGAAATAGTAAAAGAACTATTCTAAAATAAAATCAGATAGACTTTAAAAGACTTTACTAGATAACTGAGAAAAAATGGTAAAAGAAATGGTAAAAGAAATAATAAAACCATGAATTTTTATTTTTTATTTTTTTGGAGGAAGGAGAGAATGATGTCCAAGAGCAATTATTTTCAATAATTGGTGCTTTCAAGTACAAAGCAAGCCACAGACACAAAAAAATTTAAGAAGTAGCAAACAAAGATAAAGATACCAAAAATGTTTTTAAATGCTGAAGACTTTACATCATGGATGGTTTCCAGCTTCATCCATGTCCCTACAAAGGGACATGTTCGAATTCAGTTCAAAGATGTGAAGTCTGGTAAAAGTTCAAATTTGAAAGTTTCATCACATAAAAAGGTATTTTCTGAAATAAAATACTTTTTAATTAAATTTAGAATATTGGACTAACAAGAAACACTGCTATAGTTAGTTAATTTTAATTAATATATTTTAATTTACTCATTCATAAACATAGACATTGAACAATAGCTTATATAAAATCATAATAATGATAATAATGAGAGCTAGCATTAATTGAATACTTACTATATGCTAAGACTTTCCTTTTTTTTTTTTTTTTTTTGAGACAGAGTCTTGCTCTGTCCCCCAGGCTGGAGTACAGTGGCAGGTGATCTCAGCTCACTGCAACCACCGCCTCCCGGGTTCAAGCAATTCTCCTGCCTCTGCCTCCTGAGTAGCTGGGATTACAGGTGCATGCCACCACACCTGGCTAATTTTTGTATTTTTAGTAGAGATGGGGTTTGACCAAATTGGTCAGTCTGGTTATCATTTAACAAGCATTAGCTGAATTTTTCCCTCAACTATTCTAATGAGATACGTATTATTATTATTGTTTTATAGAAGTAGAAACCAAATAAGAGTAAGGTTAAGCCACTTCTGAGGGCTACAAAGCAAAAAGTGCCAGAGGTAAGTTTTAAAACCAAGAATGGTATATTCACAGTTCGTATTTTTAATAAAGCCAAAATAACCATGACTTGACTGTAATTTTAATTGTTTTAATGATCTTATAATTATTACAGAAAATTATTTTATTTTTTCAATTATCAGATTTATACTTGTTCACATTTGTACGTAACTAAAATTATAATATGCATTAAAATAGATGTATGTATTTAATTTAGCCTTTCTTTTCTTGAAGAGCTATAATTAAATGTGTGGTAAATCTTACATTACATGACATTTTGTAATCATGACCAGATGGAAATCTATATTTTCTTGTTTTAGTAATAAATGGAACTAGTGATAGCTATATAGAAAATTTTTTTCAGATAATTTTGTTTAGTACCAACTGTAATTTTAATACTAATTTTAAAATGAAGTATTCTATTAAAATTTGGAAATTAAAAAAATCTTTATATAGATTTTCTCTTCATGTCATTGTGAACACATTGCTTGAAATTAGAAGGTATTATGTCTTAAATTAAAATTCAATCAAAACAGTAAACCCATTCATTTCAATTGATTAACCTCATTTCATTAACCAATAGCTCTATCCTCTTTCTCCTCTAATTTGTTTAATAAGACAGGTAAAAGATCCAGGTTGAGTTTCAGCAACTTTTACTTACTGATAAAAATTCACCTATAGGCTGGGCATTGTGGCTCACACCTGTAATCCCAGTGATCTGAGAGGCCAAGGTGGGTGAATTGCTTGAGCCCAGGAGTTGGAGACCAGCCTGGCCAACATGGCAAAACCGATCTCTACTAAAAATACAAAATTTAGCAGTGTATGGTGTCTCATGCCTGTAGTCCCAGATACTTCTGAGGCTGAGACAGGAGAATTTCTTGAGCCCAGGATGCAGAGGTTGCAGTGAACCAAGATGGCACCATTGCATTCCTGCTTGTGTGACAGAGTGAGATCCTATCTCAAAAATAATAATAATAATCTATATAATAAAGCAGCTCCTGCTTTATCAATGTTTTGAAACTTTTTTCTCTCTGTAAGCTCTTCCAAAAGAGGTCTCAAGATATCAATTTGCTTGTGACTCATTTCCTGGTAAAATGGCCCATAGGATGTAGGTAACATAATCAAAATTCCACTGAGTTTTCTAAATTATTGCATTGGGAAAGTGAGGTGGCTGCTTAAAATTAATCTAATCATAAACAGTAAACATTTTTACAGAGAGTGGATTGATGCAGGAGAAAGACTCCACACAGAAGTCTCAGGTATCAATGTAGATGTCTTGGCTCTGCTCCCACAAGTTTCATCTGAAAAATAATAATAATAACTCTTGTTCATATTATGTGCTGATATGGTTTGGCTGTGTCCCCACCTAAATCTCATCTTGAATTGTAGCTCCCATAATTCCATGTATCATGGGAGGAACCTGATGGGAGGTAATTTAATCATGGGGGTGGGTCTTTCCCATGTTGTTCTCATGGTAGTGAATAATTTTCATGAGATCTGATGGTTTTATAAACAGAAATTCCCTTGCACAAGCTCTCTCTTTGCCCACTGCAATGTAAGAAGTCCCTTTTCTCTTCCTTCATCTTCTACCATGATTGTGAGGACTCCCCAGCCACATGGAACTGTGAGTCCATTAAACCTCTTTCCTTTATAAATTACCCAGTCTAAGGTATGTCTTTATTAGCAGTGTAAGAACAGACTAATAAAGTGAATTGGTACAAGGTAGTGGGGCACTGCTATATAGATACCTGAAAATGTGGAAGCGACTTTGGAAGTGCGTAACAGGCAGAGGTTGAAATAGTTTGTAAGCCTCAGAAGAAAACAGGAAAATGTGAAAAAGTTTGGAACTTCCTAGAGACTTGTTGAATGGCTTTGACCAAGTGCTGCTTATCTCAGATTGGAGATGAGGAACTTATTGGGAACTGGAGTAAAGGTGACTCTTGGTATATTTTAGCAGAAAGACTTGTGGCACTTTGGCCCTGCCCTAGAGATCTGTGGAACTTTGAACTGGAGAGAAATGATTTAGGATATCTGTTGGAAGAAATTTCTAAGCAGCAAGTTGCTCAAGAGGAAGCAGAGCCTAAAAATTTTGGAAAATTTGGAGCCTGATGATGCAATAGAAAAGAAAAACCCATTTTGTGGGTAGAAATTCAAGCTGGCTGCAGAAAATTGCATAAATAACGAGAAACCAAATGTTAATTGCCAAGACAATGCAGAAAATATCTCCAGGGCATGTCAGAGACCTTTGTGGCAACCCCTCCCATCACAGGCCAGGAGACCTAGGAAGAAAAAATGGTCTCATGGGCCAGTCCCAGGGTCCTCTACTGTGTGCAGCCTAGGGACTTGGTGTCCTGAGTCCCAGCTGCTCTAGCCATGACTAAAAGGGACCAAGGTACAACTTGGGCCATGGCTTCAGAGGGAGTAAGCCCCAAGCTTTGGCAACTTCTATGTAGTGTTGAGCTTGCAGGTGTGCAGGAGTCAAGAATTCAGGTTTGGGTACCTCCACCTAGAGTTCAGAAGATGTATGAAAACACCTAGATGTCCAGGCAGAAGTTTGCTGTAGGCATGGGGACCTCATGGAGGGCCTCTGCCAGGGCAGTGTGGAAGAGAAATGTGGGCTGGGTGCCCCCAGACAGAGTCCCCATTGGGACACTGCCTAGTGGAGCTGTGAGAAGAGGGCCACCATCCTCCAGACTTCAGAATCATAGATCCACTGACAGCTTGCACCATGCGCCTGGGGACAGCTTCCACCATGCACCTGGAAAAACCACAGACACTCAATGTCAGCCTGAGAAAGCAGCCAGGAGGTGGGCTGTACCCTGCAAAGCCAGAGGGGTGGAGCTACCCAAAACCATGGGAAACCACCTCTTGCAGCAAGGTGACCTGGAGGTGAGAAATTAAGTCAAAGGAGTTCATTTGGGAGTTTTAAGATTTGGCTGCCCTGCTGGATTTTGGACTTACATGATGCCTGTAGCCCCTTCATTGTGGCCAATTTCTCCCACTTGGAATGGGTGTATTTACCCAATATTTGTACCCCCATTGTGTCTAGGAAGTGACTAACTTGCTTTTGATTTTACAGGCTCTAAGCAGAAGGTACTTACCTATTCTCAGATGAGACTTTAGACTGTGAACTTCTAAGTTAATGCTGAAATGAGTTAAGAACTTGGGGGACTGTTGGGAAGGCATGACTGGTTTTAAAATGTGAGAACATGAGATTTGGGATTGGCCGGGGTGGAATAATATGGTTTGACTGTGTCCCCATCCAAATCTCATCTTGAATTGTAGCTCTTATAATTCCCATGTGTCATGGGAGTGACGCAGTGGGAGGTAATTGAATCTTGGGGGATGGTCTTTTCTATGCTGTCCTTGTGGTAGTGAATAAGTCTCAGAAGATCTGATGGTTTTATAAACTGGAGTTCCCTTGTATAAACTGTCTTTGCCCACTGCCATGTAAGAAGTCCCTTTTCTCTTCCATTATCTTCCACCATGATTGTGAGGCCTCTCCAGCTACATAAAACTGTGAGTTTATTAAACTTCATTTCTTTCTGAATTACCCAATCTTGGGTATGTCTTTATTAGCAGCATGAGAACAGATTAATACATGTACTTTGAAAACTAATATATTGTGTCAGTAATTTTAATAGAATTTAGGGATCGATAAATTAAAATTGCTGCATACTATAAAAATGTAAGGTAACATGATTACTAATCTCATCCTTCAACATAATCATTATTTCATATTGTGTTTACTAAGTTAAATGCAAACAACAAACAACTGATATACTTTAACTGCATAGATTTTATTTCTGCATTAACCTCAATTTCATATTTATCTAGAAAAAAAAAGCAGGGCACTAACAAGTGCTTCTTTGATTAGCTGTCCTCACTCAAATGATTATTTACATTATATTTGTAACATATGTAAATGAATATAATGTAAAATATATATTTTAATATAATATAAACATATATAATATATACATACATATACATGTTTATATATAAAAATATGATTTAGATAGATACAATTCTGAAAGTAAAATTTATAAATTTAATATAAATATTAGAATTTTTATATTTTATGTAAATATAAAAGTAAATATATAAATATAAAAATAACTATATAAACGTATATTTTAAATAACGTAAGATAAATATATATATAATTATTTACAAATTCAAATAGTCCAGAAGATTATACATGCATTCAGTGTTTAGTTATCTCTTATCTTGTTAACTCTTAACACTTAACTCTGTTAACTTGACTGTTAAGAGTCAACTCTTAACTTGTACATTATTTATACTCATGCATTTCTAGCTTTGTTTACCGTGGCCGTTACCTGCAAGGAGCCTTAAAATCTCTTAGTGTCTGTATCCCAGGCTATAGCAAGGTAGTTCTACCGAGTTTTACCATCATAACTCTCAATCTTTCCTTCTCTGCGTAACAAAGGATTAGGAAACTCTACACTTGAAACTTTGCTAACACAAATGCACATCTCTGGCAGAATGCTACTGAAAAGATTATTCTTTGTGTCATCTTCCTTACTCTAAGAGCACAAATACACAAATGGTTGATTTTAATATACTTATTTCTTTACTTTCAATTTCTCCCAGCTAAATCCACAGTTGACAGACATATATTTACTTCTACTCAGGAAATAACATATAATATTTGATAACTGTTGTCTCAGCTACAGGGACCAAGAAATGAACAAATTAAAAGGTTGGGGTAGTGTGGACGCAGTTAGCACTGAAAGAAGAATTTTTTTAAGAAGTTTAAGAATGTAGCATATTCAAGGATTTGAATAATCTGGCATTTGCATGCTTATGACTAAAGAAAAAGAATTAGTTACTGATCTTTAATACCTATGATTACTGCTATTAAAAATAATTCATGGAGCCTTACATTAAAAATTCTCTATGAAAATGCCTCAAATTATTTTACCAATGTTATAGCTTATTACTTTTCATTTCATGTTCTTGCCATAATGAGTTATTTTCTTTACAGTTACCCTACACTTTACTGTTTGCCTTTGCCAATCTGTCCTTACTGAGAAAAATGCCCCTGTCTTCCTATGACTTCTGAACATGCAAACCCTGTCTGCTTCTCAAGGGGTCTTCAATGCTCTCTCATGGGCAGAGTGTTTCTGAATCCCTGGGATGGAACTGAGCTCTCCTCTGACTCCCCAAGTCACTTTAGCTGTGTCTCAGTTTTGAGCTTATATTTTTGTGTCTATTATGCATGCACTTAAATAATATCTGGTCTTATGTGCTAATTCCTACTTTACACTCTATATATTCCTACTATGCGCTCCAAGAGAGTATCTTTACTCTCTATAGTGCCATGCCTGGTGCTTTACATGATTATTGACAGGGTGGACATATGAAAAAGGGATTCAGTTAAATTTGCTGCATAATGTCATATTTAACTGTAGCATTCAATAAATATGGTATAATAATCATGGCTAAAATGTATAAGGAAAATTTCAAGTGAAATTTTCATTTCAAAATTGCTGTACTATTTCCTAATCTTAATAGTGAGCTTCTCACAACAAGGTTAAATATCCTTTACTTCATGTGGTATGACATAAATTGCTATGATTCTCCCATAGAAAATTTTTGCTCTTATCATTTAAAAATATGTTTCAAAAATTAAATGTTGGAGAAGAAGCATTTGTACTACATAATTTCTAAATATGTTCAGTAAACATCAAAACAACATTTCAGAGTTGTATTCAAATGTTGTTCATTATTTCCTTTTTGTATAACATTTTAAATATTTATTTAATATTAAAATCATTTTAATATGAAAGTTAAATATGAAAAGAATCATGTTATATGTACTGAACCTGGATCTTCAGGCTCAGATATGGAGCAAATTGGGATGCAGAAACACATAGATAGGAAAGAAAAAGGTGGTAATGGAACTCAATTTGTAAAAATACTAAAACTTTGGTGTGTACGTTGCGGGAGGGGAAAACCAGCAGACCTAGTGTCAGTGGTGAAACAGAACTATCATGTTCAATAGAAAACATCTTCAAGAATAAATTTCAGCACAATGGTAGTCTTTTGTTTCTGGAAGCTCTCACATTGTTTGTACCATTTTTATCCATGTGGAGCAGAACTAGTCAGTGAAAAAGAGGATTGTATAGATTTAGTCAGTGTATCCGCACTCTAATAAAATGAGCTATAATTCAGAACTGCCACAGCTATGATTCAGATCTGAAATGAAGTTAGATTACTGGGGTGGAAGCCCAATTGTATTATCAAACTCAACTGGCTTTAGCTGGATGATGGAATTTAGAAGACATGAAACTATCTTTTCTTCTCAAATAAGATATTTGAACAAAACATTAACCCATTCTATCCTTTGATATCCTTTCAATGCAAGTTTAGCTTACACATTATTCTGGATATGTCAACACTGGATGCAGAGATTCGAGTTAAACTAGACTGAGGAAAACGGGCTCTTTCAATATACATCTACCAAGCTCTAGCATAATTCTATGGAGAGTTATATTTTCCTTTAGACCTCATTTTTAAACATTGTAATATTATTTTATTAATTTTTAAGCCAATGGGGTCTCATTCTGTTGCCCAGGCTGGAGTGTAAGGGAGTGATCATAGACCACTACCGCCTTAAACTCTTGTACTCAAGTGATCCTCTCACCTCAGCCTCCCTAGTAGCTAGAACTATAGGCAGGTGCCACCGTGCCTAGCTAATTATTTTTTGTTGTTGTTGTAGAAATGGGATCTCACTCTGTCGTCCAGGCTAGCCTCAAATTCCTGGCTTTAAGCCACCCTTCAGGCTTAAAGGCCTAGTCCTTATTTTTTTAATGCTGTACAAAAAAAAATGCTATTTTGTTATTTTATACATTAAAATTACCACTATGAGCTCTTTGTAAGAAATAATATATGACAATACATTATGTATTATATGTGAAGTAGACAGTACATTATATGTAAAATATGTATTAGATAAGTATTACTGTATTAATATGTAATATCAGATTATATTATTACATAATATATATTATAACATATATTGCTCTGTCCTTCAGTAGTCGTTTTATTTGTAAACTCTTTTCACATATACATTTTCTTTGCTATTCACAACTTCATTAGTACCACCAAAGGGCAATCACAGCTGCATCTCCCATAAGGCATCTAGTCAATGATTGATAAACATGGCTTCTATATTTCCATTATCTTTTCATGCTAACACATCAGGAAGGAGGCTGACATGGAGTGTTGACAGCTTGAGGAAAAAAGTACATTTCATAAGAAGGTATGGTGCTATGATTGAAAACAGAAATATCCTCATAATTCCTTCAGGTTTTCCCTATCAACACTGTCACTCCAATGAAAAGCGAGGGAATTGTGGTCACTCTGAGGAGCACAGAATAGACAGTATTTTAATTATGAGTAAACTAAAGCTTAAAAGTTTAAATCATTTGCTGAAGACTTTACATCATTTAGAGAGATGGCAAAATATTAAAAACTACACCTTTTTAAGGCTTTTCTATCAATCATTAAGTCAGAGAAGATGGAAGGCAATATTAAAGTACAAGATAGCATGGAATAACAAAAAGTCAAAAATGAGAAGAAGAGAATGCCGATGGCATAGGCGCAATTAAAATTTGATGAAGACAAACACACCAAATTTAATTTCAACATGTTACATATCTTTAGAACTCTAAGTAGTCTTAGAGATCAGCATGGTGCAGTAGAAAGCAATTTGATATGAATTTTAAAAACCTCAATTTAAATCCAAGGTGTTTTATTGCATTCGCAAACTATCTACATTTTACAT
Source organism: Homo sapiens (assembly GCF_000001405.40). Lineage (NCBI taxonomy): Eukaryota > Metazoa > Chordata > Mammalia > Primates > Hominidae > Homo > Homo sapiens. The sequence goes on along the minus strand of NT_187555.1, from coordinate 83,802 downwards.
GTGTTATTTTTCTTTTTTTTACCTTGGAAATAATAACTTGCAGGTGGTTGGGAAGATTTCATGACTCAATGTTTAACAAAGTGCCTGTCTCAGTGCTGATTTCACAAGAAGAGTACAGTAAAATATTAGATGGTGATAGTGATAATGATGATGGCAATGACAAAATTGATGGCAGTGACAACAGTGAATAAAAATAAATAACAGAAATCCAAATAGGGTAGGAGACATCTCTAAATACATGTGATTATTTGCTTTTTTGGTAATTAAGATTTTTTAAAATTTATATTTCAATTTTTACACATTGTTAAAATGACCCTTTGTTTCTGATTCAGTTTTATACGTTATATTTGGAAAATAGGACCACTTAAAGCCTTTAATTGGTTTAAATTGACCATAGTTTATAAACCTATGCCAACAGGGATTTTTAAAATTACATATTTTGTCTAAAGGTGTAATATATGTAGATTGGTGAGTTGGAAAGTGAATTACTCTTTGTCTATGAAAAAGATGGTGTCCTTCGCTGTAGTAGAGAAGAAAAGCAATGGTGAGTTTTGTGTCACAATAAAGGAAAACCTGAGGCTGGGTAATTTGTAAATAAAAGAGGTGTATTTTGGATCATGACTTTGCAAACTGTACAGGAATCATAGCACTGGTATCTGCTTCTCGTGAAGCCTCTGGAAGCTTCCAATTATGTTGGAAGGCAAAGAGGGAGCCAGTATCTCACGTGGTGAGAGAGGGAGCAAGAATGGTGCCAGGCTCTTTGAAACCACCTGCTCTCATGTGAACTAACTGAGTGGGAACTAACTTATTACTATCAGGAGGGCACCAAGTCATTTATGAGGAATCCATCCCTATGACCCAAACACGTCCCACCAGGTCCCACCTCTAACACTGGGAATCACATTTCAACATGAGATTTGGAGGGGACAAACATCCTAAATATATCAAATGACAACTTCTCTTTCAATTAGATAATGAAATCATGTGACAAAGTGAGATTAAAAATTCATGTAGTTATACATGAAATTATCAGATAATTCAGACCTATTTATTCAATTTTTGTCATTTGCCCTTGATGTATCATAAACAGAGCTTTATACAATTTACTAACTTAGATATTTATAAGCTATTTTATGAGATAGAAATAACTTCTAACTTATTATGAATTTTTTTCTCTCTCTCTTTTTAAAGATCAGAAAATAGAAGTGTATATTCTGGATAAAACTGCCAACATAGCCACCTTAGAGTGGGATTTATTTCTTCAACCACATAGTTAACAAATGCTGGTGCCCTTACATCCCTGAAGGCATAATTAACAACCAGAAACACTTTTCTGTGGATCCTGCTTTACTAATAGTTCTCTAAAATCTTAAAATGTATTAAATCATTATCCATAACAATCAGTACAGCTACCAGAAACAGTTGCTATACCTCTCAATGGTAAGTTAGTAAGACTCCCCCAAGTGTTCACAGGTGACACCATGTTTGCTTAGAAAGCTAATGTGGTTATGGTATTAGAGAAAATGCTAATACCATTTTCTCTGGATCTAAAATCATCTAAAAATAGATAGAAATCCATTCTAGTTGAGAATAACATGCTCTCATCTATTTCCCCATGAAACCAATCTGGCGTCAAGAAATATCCACCAAAATAGAAAATTTTCACTTCATGCTTTCTTTCTTTTCCTTTTTTTTTTTTTTTTTTTTTAATGTGGCCAAATGGAATGAAGAGTTGAAATCACTGACCAGAGAATTTGGGGGGAAAGTGTTACTGATTCAAGCTATAGCCTTAGTGATTAAATGATTTTTAAACGAACTAGGCATTAATTAACAAGGCAATTATTTTAAAGTTTCTATCTAACTTAACTTTTTTAAGTTAGATAGAAAAATTAAACATATTTGCATATAGCACGTTAATTATCATTATTTCTAGTTTTATTGTTTATATTAATCACCTGTAATATTTTATATTAAAATTTATTCTACCTATAAACTTTGATGCTTCTTATTTTATCTGGGAGATAACCAATTATATAGAAAAACTAATTTTGTATAAGTTACAAGAAATGCTTTCAATTTTTCTGAAGAACTACCTAAGTTTCACCCTTTGGGTGGGAGAGAATGTAGATGAGAAAAAAAAGAAAAGTCCTTACTCTAACTCTTCAATGAGAGGCAAAAGGTGGATTTCTATAGTGGTCATGGGCTTCCAAGCGTTCTGTGAAAGTATTCCTTGGTATTAACACTGAAAAGTGTTCTGTAAAACACACCTCTATTAGCTCTGCTTCTCTGTTCTTTGAGGAGACACATATCCTCTGACTTGCAGAAAAAGATACTGTTCAACACTTTAATAACACCAGAATCTAAGGTTTCAGAAGCTTAATTACAGGATGCATATTGAATCAAACTATTTCAAAAAGTTTCCTTTTCATCTTTACACATACCTTTTTATGGAAGTACTTTACTGAAAAATTAGTTATTTTAATTTTAATTTTGGTTCTATAGAGTGCTACAGTACAAAAAGTCTGCCCTTTACCCATGTTTTTAGAGCTGGGAAAGCATTAGAGACTATGTAGTTGGTACTCTAGTTTTAAAAGGAGAAAATACAGGACCTAGAAGATGAAGTAAGGTTTGGTAGCCACACTATTAGAATCAATATGTGCAATATTGCCTATATTTTGCAACCACTTGAAGTTTCCAAAAGCAGAAAAATAATGAAAATTATAAGGGATATTTTGTAAATAAAGCAATGTTTTTTTTTTCCTTTCACTGGAAATATTTCATTGGCGATGCCAGGGAAATGAAGAAATGATTTGTACATTTTGCATATAGGAAATTACTAGTATGTAGTGAAAACAACAAAATTTAGGGTAAATTTCATAAAGCTATCAAGAAAATAACTTGCTTTGCTCACTTAAAAATGTTCAGTAATTCACAATATGGATGGCATACAAAATTATTTCCCATTAAGGTTTACTTGGAAGTATACAAATATCAATATGTATTTTAGAAGAGCATTTTGTATGAATTCAGGACTGTTATGGACTGAATGTTTGTGTCCCCCAAATTCATATGTTGAAGCCCCAACCCCAATATGCCTGTATTTGTAGATGGGCTTCTAAGAAAGTAATTATCTTCCTAACAGTGGGCCTCTGAAGTAATAGGATTGGTGTTTGTAAGACAGATCTGAGAGCCAGTGCCTTCCATTGCTTATGCTTGCTTGCTTTCTCTCTCTCTCCATTTGTAAGTACCAAGGAAAGCTCATGTGAGCACACAGTGAGAATGCAGCTGTCTGCAACCCACAAAGAGAGCCCCACCAAAAACCAAACTGGCCAGAACCTTGATCTTGGACTTTGGGCTGGGAGAACTTGAGTAAATAAACTTCTACTGTTTATTCCACCCAGTCTGTGATTATGGCAGACCAGAAACACTAACACAATCACTTTTTGAGTTTTGAGAAAAGTTGAGGTCATATACAATGTTTGATTAGAAAATAATACTCTAAATACACCGATTTTAAGATGATTAAAATGTATTTTATAATAAGATTGCAAAAACAGAGTGGAACAAATTAGAGGAGTTGGTAGTTAAAATGATAGAGCACATCCACTCAAAAAAAATTTAAATAAATTAAAACATTTTAGGCACTAAAAACAAATTTTCAGAGCCCTTACTCTATGTTTAGTTATTTCATAAGACTCAAAATATTTAATATATTATGGAAAAATAAATCTGTTTTAATAGATGTTAAGAATGTTAAGAAAAGGCAGCTAGCTGATCACCAAGGCCGTTTATTGTTCCTACTTATAAATGTAAATATTTCCCAGCCATGTACAGTTAGATTTGGCCAATGATTAATTTCTAGTCAAATAAATGTGGATAACAAGGATGAGCTCACTTCAAGCTTGACCCAGAGATATTCTCAAACATGTTTCTCCACTTCTTGACTTCTGTCTGACTCAGTGTGGATTCCCCTTCCCATGGTGCTATTTGGAGACATGTTGAAGATTGTGGAACCACAAGACGACAGAAACCTGGGTTCCTGTGTCACCACTTAGAGGAGATCCATCCAACCAGGAATACCCACAACTGAACTCTTACATGTGTAATACCTAAACTTTATTTAAATAATTTATTGAGATTACAGAGTTCAGCATCTAGTGTTATTTTCATTACATGAGATTGTAATAAAATTGCATTAGGTAGAGAAGATGGCAAAACTTTCTTGATGTTTTGTGGTTACTGATTTTTATTCAAAATAGATCTCTATAATATAGAATTTCACCACTTTAGGAAATTAATGTCTACTTTCAAAAAGGAAAGGAGAAAAAGGTTTATTTAAATTACATTTTACTACTAATGTTTACATTTTACTACATTTTACTACATTTTACTACTAATATTTCTAAAAACCTATGGACAATTCTTTCCCAACTGCAAGTTAACTTAAAACAATTAAAGATCACAGGTTGGGTTTCTTTCTTTAACTCAGTTTAAAAGGTGAAAACTAAAACTCTATAATTTGTAATCTTTCCCTGTGTTTTATGTGTACTGTACTGAATACTCAGGGAGACTCCATCAAAGACCAAACCTTGCCTACCTGCCTTCTATTAGGTCTCTATATTAATACTTTCAGTTTGTTGTTCTTGAAACATATAAACCATTCTTTTTCTGGTTGTTGAACGCCAGCTGGTACTGTCAGCAACCATTGTTTCCCAGCTGTCTGCCCTGATACCCCATTGCTTTCAGGCTGCCTGAAAGAGTCTCCTTGAAGCACATTATTTGACCTCCTTACCTCCTAAGTTTATCACAGGTACTTAGAATACTTGGGTGTAAAATCAGTCTACTTTTTCATGGTATAAGAGTTAATATATTATATATATAAATTTGCCTCCTGAAAATATTTGGTTTACATATTAGTCCTGTGGTCTCCAAAGTTTTGGTTATTTACTCCTATCAACTAATTTTCTAGCACACAAGCCAAATGTATATATGTATATATATATATATTTAATTATATAATACGTATTCATGTGTACACAAGCCTAATATACATTGTACAACTTGCATAAGTGTATTTCCAAAATATTTTTATTTTATAATTATACTCCCTGTCTTTGTTCATATTAGAAATTATTTGTAAAAAATTTTTTTTATTCATTTTATTTAAATGCATAGTTTTAATGAATGCTGTGGTTGAAAAGGCTATGTAGACCATATTTTTTAAATGGTCTGTTAACCGTAAATTTCATAATAGGCATTTTACAATCATATCTGCCAAATATGTAAAAACTATGTTGTAATTTAGCTGGTAAATTTCCATTCATTTAATACCAGTGAGGTTTTTTTTCCTTTTTCTTTTTCTTTTTTTCTTTTTCCCTTTTCTTTTTTTCTTTTTCCTTTTTCTTTTTCTTCTTTTCTTTTTCCTTTTGAGACTGAGACAGGGTCTCAGTCTGTTGCCCAGGCTGAGTGCAGTGGGGCAATCACTAGCTTACTGCAGTCTTGACCTCCCAAGCTCAAGCGATCCTACCACCTCAGCCTCGCAAGTAGCTGGAATTACAGGTACTGGCCACCACACCTTGTTGATTTTTTTTATTTTTCGTAGAGACAGGGTCTTGCTTTGTTGCCAGGGGTCTTGAACTCCTAGACTCAAATGATCCTCCCTCCTTGGCCTCACAAAGTGCTAGGATTACAGGCATGAGCCACTTCACTGGGCCCAATGAGGTATTTTTGAAAACTAATCAGATCATACAGCATTTTTATATTTTTAACAAATGGTTCAAAAACACAAAAAATATCAATTGGTATATTTTTGAAAAAATCAGAAAAACTTCAGTCTCCTATTATATTCATTTGAGACATCTTTGAGTGTTTTTACAAAATCATACAATAATAAAGACGTGGCCAAAATATCACTTTTTCACAGTCTTCTCTTTACCCACAGTTTCTTTTGAAAAATAATTTTACACTCATTATTAAAATGTCGAGTTTACCTTGAAAAGAAACATTGAGGGTGATGTTTTGAAGTTTGTAAGTAGCAGCTTAACAAGTATTTGTGAAAAGTTGAATGAAATCAATGCAAAGATTTTTCTATTATGCCAAATTATATATTTTTATTCATTCATCCATTGACTCTTTAAACTAATTTGTGCACTGTCTATTTGAGTCAATGTATTCTCTTATGTCTTTTATCAAACTATACTTGCAGAATCCTCAGATAGTAATAATTCTTGTTAAGTAATCATTCTGTGAAATGTTCCTTTTAGGTGTCCCATATTATATATATTTTTGCTTTGAAATATATATATATATATCTCAAGAGGAAGTTTATTAAGAAAGTAAAGGAACAAAAGAATGACTACTCCATACACAGAGCAGCCCTGAGAGCTGCTGGTTGCCTATTTTTATGGTTATTTCTTGATGATACGCTAAACAAAGGGTGTATTATTCATGCTTCCCCTTTTTAGACCATCTAGGGTAACTTCCTGTGTTCTGTTGTTTCAGTGGCATTTATAAACAGTCATGTCACTGGTGCGAGTGTAGCAGTGAGGACAACCAGAGATCACTCTCATCGCCATCGTGGTTTTGGCGGTTTTTTTTTTTTTTTTTTTTGAGACGGAGTCTTGCTCTGTCGCCCAGGCTGGAGTGCAGTGGAGGGATCTCAGCTCGCTCCGGGTTCAGTTTTGGTGGGGTTTTGCCTGTTTCTTTACTGCAACCTGTTTTATCAGCAAGGTCTTTATGATCTGTATCTTATGCCCACCTCTAATCTCATTCTGTGACTTAGAATGCCTTAGCCATCTGATAATGCAGCCCAGTAGGTCTCAGCCACATTTTACCCAGCTCCTATTCAAGATGGAGTTGCTCCGGTTGAAACGCCTCTAACATTTCCCTCCTCCCTTTTACAAGATAACCCTTAATCCTGAGGGTTGCAGAGGACGAAGATCCATCTTCCGTAATTTCTTCAGGCGGAGTAGGGGTGATGATATTCTTGCCTAACGAATGTTAATTCATATAATATTTGAATTAAGTTTAGTCATACATTTTTTTCAAACTCGAATTTAAATATAAAATGTTAAGTGCTATTAAAGTGTTACTTTGAAAATATATAAAATACCCCCTGTGTATGAGGGGCATGTAAGCATGTATGTATAAAATTGTAAATACTGTACATTTACTTCAGCTATTTTCTTCCAGATTTTAGTAATTACAGATACCCTTGCCTAAAGTTATTTAAATAGAAAATATAGTGATTCTGGACATAATTCTTCCCTTTATATGCTCCATGTTTTATGCAGAATGGGTTAGTTGGATTGACTTTTAAATCTGCAGTTTCATACCTATTGAAGAAAATGTTTAGTCTGTGCAAATCTTCTCAATATACTAACATAAAGGTACATTCAAATCTGGAATATATTCATTCTTTTACTGTTTTTGTAGGTATTCCTGATATAAGCCCATTCTATCCAGAATGACTTCCATTCTTCTGCATTTTACCTGTGTTAATCAATGGATTTCATCTTCCAGTCTTTGGTCTGTGCTTCTGTGCTATGGAGAAGGGGTTTTACACATCTCTCTGCCACTTTGTGAGAGAGAGAAGCACCCATCTCTTTAGAAGTCACTGAATTCAGTTTGTTATGTGTTGCTTTAGCAAATGTCACTCCCTGCCCACTGGCTATAACAACCAGAGCTTCCTATACTTTCTTAGCTCAGAGTAACTAGATTTAGGAAAATAGAATTATGTACTAAATACTGCTAAGAATTGCAAGGGAAGTTGAATATTTTCTAATGTAATTTCAAACAATTATTATTTAGTGAAGTCAGAAGAATAATTTTAAACAAGAACCTACACAATGCATTACATGCAGTGTGCAATAAAATGGCTGTAGATTTGTAAACAGGCATGCATTCCCCTCCATTCTCACTTAGAAAGAAATAGACTTAAGACATTCTTTTGTCAGAAATCTCTTGGGGTTTGTATAGTTGAAACTAGAGAGTAGGCTAGGCGCAGCGGCTCAGGCCTGTAATCCCAGCACTTTGGGAGGCCGAGGTGGGCAGATCACAAGGTCAGGAGATTGAGACCATACTGGCTAGCATGGTGAAACCCCGTCTCTACTGAAAAATACAAAAAATTAGCCGGGCTTGGTGGCGGGCACCTGTAGTCCCAGCTACTCCGGAGGCTGAGGCAGGAGAATGGCGTGAACCCGGAAGGCGGAGGTTCCAGTGAGCTGAGATTGCGCCACTGCACTCCAGTCTGGGTGACAGAGTGAGACTCCGTCTCAAAACAAAACAAGCTAGGAAGTAAACAAATACACATATATTAAACACTAATGTCTTCTTATTTTATGCATCTAAGCTTTTTTACGTGATTAATATTGTATATGAGGTACTATAGCCTTTAAAAATATTAGCTGATACATGGAAGTGTTTTTTTTTTTTTGCCTTCAAATGTTTTAAATCATAGGATATAAAAGTAATTCAATATACATGGTTTGGCAAGAAAAACATTTTGTTTTACAGGTTTCTATATTCAAATTAAATTTTAAAAATGGTAATGGTAAGTAGGGTCTTTTAAGACTCTTGAAAAATGTTAAGAGAGTGGATATAAGTGTTCTCACCACAAAAATGATAAATCTGTCAGGTAATGTATATGTTGATTAGCTAGATTTAATCATTCCACAATTTATACATACTTCAAAACATCATGCTGTGTATGGTAAATATATACAGTTTTGTCAATTTTAAAATATAAAAATTAAAAATTATTTTTTAAAAGATGTTATATTGTTATTCCACCCCATCAGGCCTCTGAGCCCAAGCTAAACCATCACATCCCCTGTGACCTGCAGGTATACATCCAGATGGCCGGAAGCAACTGAAGATCCACAAAAGAAGTGAAAATAGCCGTAACTGATGACATTCCACCATTGTGATTTGTTTCTGCCCCACCGTAACTGATCAATGTACTTTGTAATCTCCCCCACCCTTAAGAAGTTTCTTTGTAATCTCCCCCACCCTTAAGAATGTTCTTTGTAATTCTCCCCACCCTTGAGAATGTACTTTGTGAGATCTACCCCCTGCCCACAAAACATTGGTCCTGACTCCACCGCCTATCCCAAAACCTATAAGAACTAATGATAATCCCACCACCCTTTGCTGACTCTCTTTTCGGACTCAGCCCGCCTGCACCCAGGTGAAATAAACAGCCTTGTTGCTCACACAAAGCCTGTTTGGTGGTCTCTTCACAGGGACGCACGTGACACCCCCCAAGTTTGTAAGGGGAAATTAGAAAGGCATCTTACTGCTACACAAAATACTGATAGTCTGATAAGAGATAAAAGTAAATGGATAAATGCTCACAAAAAGGCAAAGCAGAAGACAGGACAGGAGCCATGTACTTTGAACTAACTGCAACTCTTAATGATAAAGGCGATTTTACTTTTGACATTTAGATTAATTCCCCCTTATTATCTTCGAAGTATTTGCATACATATTTTATATATCCAATTAGATATAGTTTGCATATTTGTCCCCTCCAGATATCATGCTGAAATTTGGTCCCTGGTATCTGAGATGGGGACTAATGAGAGGGGTTTGGGTTATGGGACTGCATCCTTCATGAATGGCTTAGTGCCATTCTCTCTCATGGTAATGAGGGAGCTCTGACTCTATTAGCTCGCCAGAGATCTGATTGTTCAAAACATCCTGCAAATTAAAACTGCAATGAGATACCACCATATTATCCCAGTCAGAATGGCCATTATTAATAAGTAAAAAAAAAGAAAATTAATAGGTGTTGGCATAGTGCAGTAAAAATGGAATGCTTATACAACATTGGTGGGAATGTAAATTAGCACAATCTCTTTGGAAAACAGTATGGAGATTTCTCAAAGAATTAAATTACATTTACCCTTTGATCCAGCAATCTCACCACTGGGTATCTACCCAAAGGAAAAAACTCATTATATCAAAAGGACATCTGCACTTGTACACTACTGAGCCATAAAAAAGAAGGAAATAGTGTATTTTGCAGCAACTTGGATGGAAGTGGAGGCCATTTTCCTAAGTTAAGTCACATAGGAATGGAAAACCAAATACCACACATTCTCACTTATAAGTGGCAGCTACGGTATGGGTACACAGGTGTCAGAGGTGTGTGAACCAGAGCAACTCCATCTTAAATAGGAGCTGGGTAAAATGAGGCTGAAATCTACTGAGCCACATTGTCAGATGGTTAAGGCATTCTAAGTCACAGGATGAGATAAGAGGTCAGCACAAAATACAGGTCATAAAGTCCTTGCTGATAAAACAGGTTGCAGTAAAGGAGCTGGCCAAAACCCACCAAAACAAAAATGGAAATGAGAGTGACCTCTGGTGGTCCTCATTGCTACACTCCCACCAGCGCCATGACAGTTTACAAATGCCATGGCAACATCAGGAAGTTATCCTTTATGGTCTAAAAAGAGGGGGCATGGATAATCCACCCCTTATTTAGCATATCATGAAGAAATAACCATAAACATCGGCAACCAGCAGCCCCAAGGGAGGCTATGGAGAAGCCATTTTTTTTTTAATTCCTTGACTTTTTTAATAAACTTGCGTTCACTTTGCACTGTGGACTCGCCCTGAATTCTTTCTTGCAAGAGAGCCAAGAACCCGCTGTTGGGTTCTGGATCCAGACCCTTTTCCTGTAACACAGGGGCACACGGAGTGGTGTAATGGACATTGAAGACTCAGAAGAGGGTATGAGAGTAGTAAGGGATGAAAAATTATCCATTGTGTATAATGTACACTATTAAAATGATAGGTACACTAAAAGCCCAGACTTCACACGATATAATTTATCTAGGTAACCAAAAACATCTGTACCCATAAATCTATTTAAATTAAAATTTGTATTAAAAAAAAAGATCCTGGTTTATCCCTTTCCTCTCTCTTCCTTCCTTCCTCTCTTACCATGCGTTGGCCCTCCTTCACTTTCCATCATGAGTAGAAACAGTCTGAGGCTCTCACTGGAAGCAGATGCCGGCACCATGCTTCTGGTACAGCCTGCGGAACCATGAGATAAACTTCTTTTCTTTATAAATTACCCAGCCTCAAGTATTATTTTATAGCAATGCAAATGGACTAAGACACCATTTAAATCTGTCCTGTGTTTCTAACAGATTTTAGTGTCTCTCTTCTAGACTAAATTGTGAATATCTTTTGTGAAATGACTTCTTTTAATGACTGAAATTCCAAAAGTTCCTTGCATTGTATCAAAAATGTGATTGCTTGTTTCATTTTTTTCCTAGTCCTCAGATGCTCAAAACTGAGTTAAAAATCTTTCTTGGGACGCCGTACATATTACTATCATTCTGTTTTGTTTATCGTATGTATTTCTATTTATTTATTTATTTATTTATTTTTTAACTTCAACACCAATCTATATTCCATTCCTTTCCTTCTCCAATTATTCATTTGTATGATAAGTTAATGGGACTGGGTATCTGAATGATACTGTTGAGGTGGCATACAGTAAATATTATGAGTGGCACATCAAGTTTTCTATAATACACTATATACATTTTTTGTGTTTTCAAATCTAAAATATTTACATATGTCTTGCTAATTCAATATATTAATTTGAATGTATGTTCTAATGCTTTTGAAACTTTTTGGAAAATCGTGATGGTGCAAACTTAATTATTAGGGACCGCTGAACCTCTGAGAATTTGGGGTTTCATACAAAAATTTTCTGAGATCAATTTTTAAAAATTGAACTATCACTAACCAAAAATGTAAAAAAATAAAGTAAAAGAATACATTTAAGTACAGTGTGATGCTCAAGGCCAGAATGCAAAAGAAGTATTTTAAAATCCTTGGTAGATAGTATTTGTCTATACTTTGTCAAATTATCCAATTTAAAGTGCATTGGCTTCTATATAATATAATAGGTGTCTTCTATAATGCACTATCTGATATTCTTTTAGAGGAAACTATTTTTGTCTATTTTACAACAGTTTGAGCATAGGTAAGAATTTAGTTGCAGAAGCTACAAACATTCTAGTTCTTTTAAAGCAAAAAAAAAAGAAAGAAAGAAAAGAAAAAGAGAGAGAGAGATGTATATCTAATAGGCAAACCATAATTGGAGGCCTGATGGAGTAAACTCTAGGATGGGCCTTCCATTTGGCTGCCCATCACTCTACAATCAGGAAGGTGGGAAAATATAAGGCTACCCAACAATACAGAATTCAGGAAGCTGCTAAAACCCTTAACAATTGCATCCTGCTCTCCATAGAGGTGATACCAGGACACTAGAAACATTCCTTAAAGAAAAGAAAGACTGTGGTTGCCAGCAAGGGGGAAAAACACAAAGCAGTTCCACTTTTGGCCCACTAATCTCCTAAAAGTAGAACAAATTGTCAGAACTTAACCAATATCCAGAACCTCAGCATCAAAGGATTCCAGGAAATGTACTTTTACAGCATTTGAAATGTTAAGAGGAAACAGTAGAAGCATGTGTGTGTGTGTGTGTGTGTGTGTGTATGTGTGTGTACGTATTTGTGAGTAATGAAAAAAGCTACCATAAAAAAATGTAAAAATGCCATGGTTGACATTTATAGGAATATAACAATTCATAAAGGGATAAACCAGGCTCTTTTTTTTAATACAAATTTTAACTGCGGTAAGATGTGAGACTGTTGGGTAATATGTATAACAAAGTCCTTTGACATGTGCGTGCCTCACTTCTAAACTCTCAGATAAGAAGACCTCTACTAGAAAGAATAGGAAGGATATAACATCCGTGAAATTAAACAAGGGGTTAGGACATATTAGCATAATAGCATAGAGGCGTAAACAGAGAAGCTAATGAATTATAGAACAATAGAATGTACATACCAAGAGTTGCTCCTGTTCCTAACGCTTTAGAACATGCTAGTATTACTTTTTCTTATCCGACTTTTTCAGGGATAACTTTGTTTTAAGGAACTGTAATAGACACATGACAATTAAAAAAAAAATCCACAGAGTTGAACTTTAAAGATAGTAGCTCAACAGTTAAAATGCATTAGAATTGCCCATACCCTTCAAAAAAGGAACTGCTGTCCTTTTTCAAGGATCATAATTAGCAGTTTCCACTGGCCAGCTCCTCCTGAATCTTCCCAGCAGGAGAGAGATGCCTTCTCCATTGTCACATAGACTTTCTCAGAGCAACCTGCATGATATGCCTGGATGAGATGAGGGTATAGAAACCCAACCATTTTGTCATGATGTGGGACTACTCTGACAGATAATATTTGCTTCAAAGCTTCCCACTGGGTTGAGCGAGGTTTGATGGATCTGCAGTGGAGATTACTTCTTCCGCCACCCAATTCTGCTCTCTGACTTTCCTTCAGAGTTATTGATTGCTAAACAATATTTTGCATTTCAAATCCCATTTCAGTATCTGCATCCACAGAACCCTTCCAGGGAGGACTATTAATAGGAATCATACTGCAATGTATTGAAATATATTAAATTTTTATTAGTGCATCCTGCCTTTCTTATATAAACTGTGTCACTGGGTATGCAAGTATTTGATGAAAGAAAGTTCTTCTGTATAGAATAATCCTAGCCAAACAATTAAGAAGGAATAATAGAATTTTAATTCCATCATTTTGTAACTTCTAATGAATTCATGGATTCAGGCATTGTATTTCAAGAAATGCTAACATCACAACAAAGATATCAGAATGATTATGTGCCTTTTGGTGGAAAAATCAATACCTAGGAGGTAATTTTTCTACCCTTTCCTACTGAATAGAATCTGAATTTGATTAATTCTCCCTACATAAGTGCTAATTTCCAGGAAATGCAGGGGAAAGAAAAACAAGTGAACTTGACCATGGGATACAATTTCCAAAATTTAGACTTTGGTGAACTCCATAGAAAGGGTAACTTGGTTTCTACAATAAATAAATTATAAAAAGTCAAAAAGTAAGAGATGGAGGAAAAATGTATAAATTTAAAATGCTTTAATAATACTGTTCAACCAACTGTAATATGAACTTTATTTGGGTTATGATTTCCTTTAAAAACTCTTATAAATGCAACATTTGTAAGATATTTATTAATTTGAACATTCATTTGGATATTTAATACTATGATATTTTTAATTTTTACAAGTTATAACGGTATTAGGGTTGTATTTCAAAATGTTAGTGTTTTTGTCATTCAGAGGTAGATACTATTTTTTTTTCACATGGAATTAGGATTTGCTCCAAAATAATTTGGAGTAAAGAATGGGATAGAGTATAAACATATCAGACTGTTTATGAGTTAATAATTGCTAAAACTAGCCAACAGGTACATGGGCTTTAATTATACTCTGCTGTCTGTTTTTGTATCTATCTTTCTGAGGTTTTTTTTTAAATAATACATAAAAATTTCGAAGTATGTACTGAAAAATAGCAACAGAAACATGACATGAGCACAATCAGAGCAACTAAATGAATCAAGACACTGCCAAAAGAGATTTATTTTGGATATTTCAGTGGGAACTAGATAGAAAGGTGTCACCTAGAGGAGAAGGGGTCGTATCCGTAGACATGTTTTATGTAGTTTAATATAGAAAAGCATAAAACATAAAATAGAGTATATCATTATTTTTCTGTTAGTAATCTCTTGTAGTAGCAAAATAATGATACCAGAAGAAAGTGTGCCAGGGACAAATGAAGCATAGTTATCTATGCTTCATCAGGGAAATCCCTGAGGGCAACATCACTGATTGCCCAGAGTAGTTTCTAATGTGGCTGACTGAATTCTTCTTCAGACATATCTCTAATATAGGCTTTTAGTGGCTGCCTTGAATTCATTCAAGTTACCACTTAAGATGAAGTATAATCTACATCCACATTCAATGCACATTTTTTCCTCAATCAAAAGCATTAAGAAACACAATGATATTGTAATTTTGATTTCAGTTATCAATTTGGAACACTGTTAACTGGAATTTCCATTAAGGAAATTCTAGTATTTCATGTAATTTTTGTTCTGAAACATACTTAGAGACCAACATATGTTAGACCAAATTACAGTTAATTTTTATGATAGATTTCTTCAAATCCAAATGTTAACTTAGAAGGCAGTCTTCATCTCCAATACAAGAGAAGATGCACATTTGTAATAAAAAGTATAATTAATTCTATGTTCACAGTTATTGCAAAGTAATCAAGATATTTATAAAGAAAAAGTAGATATACATTTCTTTATGGGATATTGTTTCAGAATTTATTAGTTAATGTAGAATAGCAAAAATAATATATTTTATGTGATGACATGTAAGAAATAGTTAAAGGCCAGGTTTGTTCAGATTTAAACTCAGTCACAGTGATGTCTTCCAGTTATTTGTGTACATTATTTTTTATGTGAAATGGTATTAAAAATAAAAGTGAGCATCTTTCAGGTAACCATTATTATTATTCCAGTGACTATTATTCCTGTCCTAGTGATATCTGATAAATATGGAAAACAATAGTTTTTCTAAAAGAAATGTGTTACCTTACTATATCATAAATTTCTCAGTAGATTTACCAGAGTCAACAATTATTTCTTATTTTTCCACAGTGTTAAGTGCAATATCTAATATGTTGGAGGAACCCCAGATATATTTTTGAAATTAATAAATTGATAAATGTTTAGAGATTAGGAATATTTTTAACTTGATTATTTTTGTTTGTTTTCTAATTTAGAAAGGAAAGGCTCTGAAATATTTTTAGATGTTTCATCAAATAAATTTTAAAATCACTTAATAATGGCAAAAGGCATTACATTTTACTATGTGGACTAAAAAAATCTGTGCTTTTAAACTATATTTATCATAAAAGTAGCATATTTTGAATTTGATATTTGCTAACCTGGATGGTAAAAACTTTAACAAAGTATTTCTCTTAAATATAGTAAATGAAGTGGCATTATTGAGTCATTCTTAGACAAGGGGACTGTAATTTCTGGAAGTTAATTTGTCCACAATCAAATACTTAGAAATTGGAGGAGTTGATCCGAAACTACATTAAAAAATTTAAGACTGCACTTTTCATTGTACACTTAAAATATTGCAATAAGAATTCAAATGTGAAATTACCAAAATTTTGTGTTATTTGAAGTTAGAAAACTCAGGTAAACCTATGATCAATAATTTTAATTAGATTTGCTTATGTCCTCCAACTCAGCACCTTAAATTAACAAGGACAAAGAGTAGTTCTATGATGTATAATCTATAATGGATACAGATCATTAATGTGCACTCCACAAAATAGCAACTGGACAAGAGGGTGAAGAAGAGATGAATGGATTGAGTAGACTAATTAGCAAGCTGAAGTGTAAGAGTTACTAGCAGCAATAATGTGGTAGGAAAGACACTGCAAGCAATGTAGGATAAATAATGACTATAATTGTAATAAAAATAACAAGTATTCTGGGAAACAAGTGCTACTGCAGTCTGATTTAAGTAAATTTCTTTGACTGTTACTAGATTTACTTTTGAAGGTGCAAATCAAAATAAAATTAAGGCAAAATTTGACTACATCACACAAAGTGGGAACCGTTTATGACAAAGGCATTGTTGCAGTTCATTTGTATTTATTCTCATCACTGATTTTCTTATAAAAAAATTCTGTTTAAATACCACCAAAAACACATAGTAATGCTAAACACCTTACATTAAGAGCTAGATTTATGAAACCAGATGTTTTTGAAAATTTGTAGTGAAATTGAGTAATTAGATGTTGGTTGTTTTTATAATCTCACTATAAGTTTAATGTACGTATTTATGTACGTAATTGTGTGTGCATAATATATTTGCAATTATATAAGGTTGAAATTATTATAAAGAATAATTTGACCTACGTAAATGGATATTCCATATTGCCTACATTTCAATGTATTTCCAATTAAAATAAATTTCTATAAGAAAATGAAAGATTGTCAATAAAAGACTAGACCCCCAAAATTAGTAATGTATATTTTGTCAAAATGTGATATAGTTCTTAAACAATTAAGACTATTGATATTTACAAATATTTTTTAGTGGGCATCAGTGTCTTATGTGTTTGACACCAATAATAAATATTTGAAACTGTAACTTTGGTGACATTTAATGTTTTGTGTAGGATTTTAGCAGCAGCTAAAAAATCAACTGAAAGAACTGTAATAGAAATGGAGATAAAAAACAGAGTTAAAGTTAAACAATATTTAAGTGAATCACAACAAAATATATCACTTCATAAGATGCATATTCATTGTTACATATTGCTAAATCTCAAAAGTCTTAAACAAGTTATTTACAAAGGGAATCACATAAAATATACAAATACATGTACCCCTTAGAAGTTTGTTCAGCTATAAAATGAGCAGCAGATTTCAATTTCCTCCACTGTCATCCCATGAAAAATGAGTTTTATTGTAAGTGTTGTAAACCTTAGCTTACCAATTTAAAATGCAAGTTTATTTGGCTGTCTCAGAATATAAAGTACCCATACTTCAAAATCCCATTTAAAAATAATAATAAGGTAGTATATCCAGATTCATTCCCAAGTTCAACAACTTGGAATTCAGTATTTAATAAATCTATGAATTCCTAGCACTGTGCTAGTTTCTGATAATAACATTGTATTAGTTTCAAGTTGTATTAGTCTCAATATTTGAAACTTTATGCTTAAATGTTCATTTAAAAATGAAATATTTAAGATTATTAGCATGCACAATAAGTAGAATTTGATTACAATTTAATCTTAGCTCTTTGACTACTATTGTAGTAAAAAAGACATTCTGTACTACTAATAAAAGTGTAGCAATAGATACAAGTTCATACATTTATTTTTGTATTAATACCTATAGATATGTATTGGTAAGTAATCCCTTATTTTTTGTATTTTAATGAAAACAGAAAACATAATATTTATTCTTAATTTTTACAGAAAAAAGGGAATTTACATATTGAATATCCTAGGTAAATTTTATATTAATAAAACAAAAATTTTAATATATCAATAAACATATTTGGGTAGTATTGCCTCCTACTTACTTAAATATGTATTTATATGATTTATATTTTCCATTATGTTTTTATAACATTATGCATATATTAATGTTTTATTTTGTAATGTATTTACAGAACACTGTCTTATATACAAAGTATTTTAACACTAATTTTTTCATTTGATACTTAAAATAGTCTTGTGATTTGGACAGTACTGGTACAATTATCGCAGTTTTACAACTGGTACAGATAACTTGGCCAAGGTCATTTAGCCACTAAGAGTCAATTAGTTCAAATATCTAGTAGGTGATTGAACTAAAATTAAAGTTCATAGTTTTTATTTTATAGCGAATAATTATTTTAAATAAAGGACTCAGCCACTCTAAAATAATGCATGGATTGGTTTTGTACCATTGTATTAGAACAAAGAAAATACATCTCTGTATTCTCTGCAAAGATTCAACAAAACAGGTTTGTCCTTTCCTTTGTTTTTCTTTTTAGGGAAGTGTAGTGGATTTATTCTTTTTGTTTGTTTGATTTTTGTTCTATCAATAAATGAGCATCTAAAACTTTTATTGGAAGAGCCATAGTGTTAATGGTTGAATTTCCCCAGTATCAGATCAATTAGACATGCATAGATTTAAAGCAAAGCTTGGAACAATGTTCGCATGTGACCCATATGTTTCTACACATTTGCTAAAGAGGTTTGAAAATTGGTAAAAAAGATATTCTATAAATAAAAGTTAATATTTTTCAAACCGATATTAGCTGGCATTGCACTGATGGCTATGGAGCCATTGTTCTCAAACTTTTTTGTTCCAAGGAATCGAAAGACATTTTGATCAGGAGGGTTTTATCCAGTAATGTGATAAATATTTAACAACAGGCTCTCGGGGAAGAAATGGGTGAACAAACCTTATTTGCTGTATTTACTGATTGTTGTGATGTCAATACTTCTACCATTTTCAATGTCAGACTACCAATGTGATATCACTGAACAAACAATTGGAAAGACATGTGCACAATTAGATCTCACAAGCCCAGGAAAGCTAGTTCCAGCACACCACTGGTTATATCTATGGATATTTACCATAAAATAAATTAAATCAAAATGTTTAAAAATAATTATAAATGAATTCATTTTAAAATAACAATAATCTATCTATTAACAAAAGTAACATGATCTTGGTAAAAAATAATATTTTCCAAACAACAACAAAAAATGTTATAGGGAGAACTGCCCTTGTTTTACATATTCTCAAATTACTTTAATATACAACTTAATAGAAGACTGCTGGATCTTCATATCTGAGAAAGCATTCAATCTGGTGTAAAATCACTTTAAGCGTCCACTTTAAAAAGTGTCCACTGCACTATAGATCTGTGACAGATAGAAACAAAAAAAAGAGAACATCTTAGTATTACGAAGATATTTGATCTCACAGACCCACAGAATAGGTTTTGAGGACTCACTGGAATCCTTGCATCACACTTTGAAAAAATGCTACTAAAGAGAAATAGTTGGAACCAAAAAATGGCCTATGTTGAAATTATCTGAATAAAAGGAAAGCAAGTCACCATGACTGTGATTTTTCTTCTCTGAGAAAAACAGGTGGTAGCATTCCAGGACTTTTCTGTAGTTCAGCTAAAGACAGGGTCCTTGTCACACGGCCACGAGAAATTAGGCTTGCAGACAATTTGAAGGGTGAGTAAAGCAGGGTTTTATTGGGTGAAAAGGAAGAAAAGAGGAAACAGAGACTGTTAGTAAAGCGAGAGTATGTGTTTCTCTGCCAGTGGGTTTCCAGCCTCACAGATTGAATTCCAAGTTCCACCCAAGAAAAGGACGGGCCAGGATCCTCCCCACTGCAAAGGATGTAAAGTTCTGTGGCTCCACCCCAATGTGAACTCTTCTCAGTGCGCAGGCTGGTTGGAGTTTCTCTGGGAACCTCTTCCCACCTGGCTGTCTCAGTAGGGGAGAGAGAGAGACAGAGAAACCATGAGGCACTATACTAATGGTATAGTTTATAGATCGTAAAATTCACCGGGCAATCTGTGATCTTCTGAGCAAGGTCCAGACAAAGTGAGGAGCCGAAACAAATCGAGATTTTAAAATATATGAATTTATTAATATTGTCCTACTTTTCTGTGCCTCCCACATTTGTAGGAGGTATACTGATGATCATCTATATATGTAGAAAGTCCTATGGAATCTACAAAAAAGTTATTAAAACGATTGTTTGCGTTTTGCAAAGTTGCAGTCAATTGGGTCAATATAAAAATTCAATTGTATTTCTATACGTTAGAAATTAAGAATCAAATTGAAAATTTTAAATGTACGGTATTATAAAGCATTCAAATAATTAGGGACAAATCTGAGGAAAGATGTGCATTCTCTGTGTACTGAAACACTGGAATATTGCTGAAACAAATGTTAAATGATCTAAATATATGGGGATAGATACTGTGTTTATTGTTTGGGAGATTCAATAATGTTAAGAATTCAGTTCTCTGAAAATTGGTCTCTGTATTCAACACAATCTGAAAATAAGTTTCAGAATCGGTAGACATTGCGAACCAGGTTATGAAGTGCAAGGCTGCAGTTGCTTGGGAGGCTGGAAAGCCTCTCTCCATAGAGGAGATAGAGGTGGCACCCCCAAAGGCTCATGAAGTTCGAATCAAGATCATTGCCACTGCGGTTTGCCACACCGACGCCTATACCCTGAGGGGAGCTGATCCTGAGGGTTGTTTTCCAGTGATCTTGGGACATGAAGGTGCCGGAATTGAGGAAAGTGTTGGCGAGGGAGTTACTAAGCTGAAGGCGGGTGACACTGTCATCCCACTTTACATCCCACAGTGTGGAGAATGCAAATTTTGTCTATATCCTAAAACTAACCTTTGCCAGAAGATAAGAGTCACTCAAGGGAAAGGATTAATGCCAGATGGTACCAGCAGATTTACTTGCAAAGGAAAGACAATTTTGCGTTACATGGGAACCAGCACATTTTCTGAATACACAGTTGTAGCTGATATCTCTGTTGCTAAAATAGATCCTTTAGCACCTTTGGATAAACTCTGCCTTCTAGGTTGTGGCATTTCAGCTGGTGATGGTGCTGCTGTGAACACTGCCAAGGTGGAACCTGGCTCTGTTTGTGCCGTCTTTGGTCTGGGAGGAGTTGGATTGGCAGTTATCACGGGCTGTAAAGTGGCTGGTGCATCCCGGATCATTGGTGTGGACATCAATAAAGATAAATTTGCAAGGGCCAAAGAGTTTGGAGCCACTGAATGTATTAACCCTCAGGGTTTTAGTAAACCCATCCAGGAAGGGCTCATTGAGATGACTGATGGAGGAGTGGACTATTCCTTTGAATGTATTGGTAATGTGAAGGTCATGAGAGCAGCACTTGAGGCTTATCACAAGGGCTGGGGAGTCAGCGTGGTGGTTGGAGTAGCTGCTTCAGGTGAAGAAATTGCCACTCGTCCATTCCAGCTGGTAACAGGTCGCACATGGAAAGGAACTGCCTTTGGAGGATGGAAGAGTGTAGAAAGTGTCCCAAAGTTGGTGTCTGAATATATGTCCAAAAAAATAAAAGTTGATGAATTTGTGACTCACAATCTGTCTTTTGGTGAAATTAACAAAGCCTTTCAACTGATGCATTCTGGAAAGAGCATTCGAACTGTTGTAAAGATTTAATTCAAAAGAGAAAAATAATGTCCAACCTGTCGTGATGTGATGGGAGCAGCTTAACAGGCAGGGAGAAGCGCCTCCAAACTCACAGCCTCGTAGAGCTTCGCAGCTACCCCAGAGAATAGTGTTATGAGTGTAATTCATGAATCTCTATAATCAACGACAAGGATAATTCAGTCATGGACCTGTTTTCTGGACGCTCCTCCACATAAATAATTGCTAGCTTATTAAGGAATATTTTAACATAATAAAAGTAATTTCTATATTTGTGTAGAAATTGTCTTTGTTTTATGCTGTAATCATTGTCATGGTTTGTCTGCCCATTATCTTCATTCTGTAAGGGAAATGTAAAGGAAGCAGGGCAGTGGTGGGTGTCTGAAACCTCAGAAACATTCGTTGAAGTTTTAAGGGTCTCAGTCCCGTTGATTGAAGAACAGATCCTAGCCATCAGTGACAAAGTTAATCAGGAGCCAAGTCTGCTTCTGTGATATTATCTTGAAGGGAGGTACTGTGCCTTGTTCGTGCCTGTACCCCAAATTCCTAGTATGGCATCTGCCCCTCAGGGGACACTAAAATGTATTATTGAAACAGCATTCTGGACTTAAATAGGTGTATGTGTGTGTTGGTTGTGGCTGTACTATTTCTAGTATAGTGAATTACATACTGAATATCCAAGTTCTCAGCACCTACTTTTGTCAAATCTTAACATTTTGCCACTTCCACATCACATTGCCATTCCTCCCCTCCAGAGGTAACAATTATCCAAAATTTGATGTTTGTCATTCCTGTGTTGTTGTACTTTCACTGTGTATAACCGAAACCATCTACTCTTTAGTACTGTTTTATATATTTTTAAGCCTTATACTTGCTCATTCTACAGCTTTTCTTTTTTTCACTCATTATTGTATAATTATATGTGAAGCTTTCATTCATTAATTTTAGTACTGTGTAGCAGTATTCAATTACGCGAACTATCTTAATTCATCTGTTCTCCAGTTGAAGGCATGAAGTTGTTGCCAGTTTCTGTATTACAACACTGTAGTGGAACATTCTTCTGCATTGGGCTCACTACATTAGTTACTTAAGATGTGTATCACAGAATAAACACATTTAGCCTTATAGACATTGCCAAATTTATCTTCAAAGTAAATGTGAGTTTTTGTGAATTACGTGAGTGTAGAATGGTGTTTTATTATGAGTTTAGTTTGCATTTTCCACAATTACTCATTAAATCCTTCATTCTAATGGACATTTTATTGTGAAGAACCTGTTCATATCCTGTGCCCAACTTTGTATTGAATTATTTCTTTTTCTCTGAGTAATTTTTAGGAGTTCTTTTATTCTAGACATCAATCATTTGTCAGTTTTATATGTTGCAAATATCTTCTAGTCTATCTTGTGACTTTTCTTTTTACTTTATGGTATTTTGTTGAATAAAGTTTTAATGTAGTCAAATAAAGAAAATAAGTTTCAGCAGTTTTTTTTTTTGTAGAAATTGACAAGCTGATTCAAATATTGATATGGAAATGCAAGGACTAAGAATACCAAAACAACTTTGAAATTGAACAACAAATTTAAATGACTTATGCTTTCTAATTCCAAGAAAAATTAGTTTCAATAAAACTACACTAATTAAGACTGTGATATTTACATAAAGATTAGATTAATGACCAGCAGAGCAGAATTGAGAGTCCAGGAATAGACCCAAAAATGTATGGTCAATTGCTTCTATGGGGTTTATAAAGAATAGCACTCCTGACCTGGAATAATTTATTTTCACCTCATCATGATTAGCAACCCATACCACAAGAACTCACACTCTGATGGCTGAAGAAATTTATATTGAGTACAGACCAGAAAAAGCCATTCATCTTTTCTCTATTTCTCTTGAAGCACTCTTCTTAGAAATGCAGTCTCCAGGTAACAAGTCTGATGGCTCTGAAATGTCCATACTGGAGAGGCCATACCTCGGTGCTTCCGTAAATAGCACCAGCTGAACTCTCAGCTGACAGCCAATATAAACAGTCAGGCAAGTGTGAGAGCCATCTTGGATGCCCTAACCTGTTGAATTTTCACCATAGCTAACATCTGACTTTAAATTGTGTAAGAGACTTTGAGAACTTCCAGTCAATCTCACTAAATCCTTGTCCCACAAAATGATGAACAAAATAAGATGCTCGTTTTAAACATCTAAGCTTTAATGTAATTTGCAATCTAGCAAAAGGTAACTGGAACATAGCCTTACCATAACATGCTCCAGAATTATCCTAATATGTACTCATCATCTGCCTTCTATTTTACTCATTTCCCCTTTAAAATTGGAATTTTTATAGCTCTATCATTTGTCGATTAACTGTCTTCTCTACCATTCATTTTTCTTTCTTCCAAAATCTTATGCCTATATGTTTTTTAAGTACCATGTAGATAAGTTATTTTCAAGATATGCCTTTCTCTTGTTTGGTACATGTATCAGGTTACTATGGAACAGTCTTTAAAATTCCTGGAAGCTCTTTTGCCTAGTTTAGAAGGTCTGCAAGTTAACCCCCACTAAATCTTTCAAAAATATTTTTAAAGAACTTATAGCCACTCCCTTGATTTAATTTTATCTCATAATTTCTTACTTTAAGGATATTTGCTTTTGAAAGAATGGAGATGAAAAAGTTTTTAATCTCCATGTAGACAAACTCTGGATCTTCTATATTTCCTCTAAATTCTGCTTGCAGACTGTTTTCTTTCACTCATGTCTTTCTTCCCATACAATGTTTCAATATTTTGCTGAGAAATAGCCTTAACAATATCTACATGTCCATTAGATTTTTTCCATCTTCCATGTTACCAATAGGGTACAATTTTCGAATTGTTTTGCTATTTCATATGAGACATCATATTTTAAGCCTGTTTAGATGTTTCCTCACTACTTTTTCACGTTTACTAACAAAGTTCTCATCATTTTTCAGTCTTCTTAGAGTTCCCAAATTGTTTTTTCATCCTGTTCCAGCCACCATGTCAAATCATATGCCATTATGTTTTAGAATTTTTGGTTATGTAGTACCCAACTTCCAATTTCTGTATCAGTTAACTTATCCTGCAAAACAAGATATTCTAACTTTAAGCAAGTTAAAGCATACAAATTTATTATTTCTTCATGATTCTGTATATTGTTCTGGCAGTTTTTCAGTTCTGGTCCAGGTAAGCTGAAGCTGGAGGGTCTAAGGTACCTCAGTGTCTGTGGAGATTAGGAACTGTAATGTCTGAGAAGACTAAGGGCCTCTCTCATTCTTCTAGCCCAGTCTTGTTCATGTGATGAATGAAGAGTTTTCATTATCAACAGAAGCCAAGTACCAGTGCAAAGGAACATTTCAAGTCCCTGTGTGCATCATATTTGCTATCTCTCATTGCCAAAATCAAGACAAAGGCCAATGCCATGAAGAATGACTCTGAAACATCCATGCTGGAGAGGACATACCTAGGTGCTGCCATAGACAACACCAGCTGAACTCTCAGCTGACAGCCAACATAAACAGCCCAATGTAAACATGAAGAATGGCATTGGCCTTTGAAGACCAGTGGTGATGAAGGATCAGACTTCTCTTTAAATGGAAAGTCAGTCAAAGTCATATTATATAGAAACTCTATTGAGTAAACACGTCCCACCCCAAATGCATATGTTGAAACCTAATTCCCAGTATGAGGTACTGGGGGAGTGAGGCCTTTGGGAGTAGATTGGGTCATGAGGGCTTTTATTAATGGGATTAGTGCCCTTTACAAAAGTAATCTCAGAAAGCTCATTTACTCCTTCCTTGTGTGAGGACACAAAGAAAAGTCAGCCATCTGTATACCAGAAAATGGTCCACAAAGACTCCAAATCTGCCAGCATCTTGTTCTTGAGACTTCCTCAACTCCATTACTATGAGAAACAAATTTCTGTTGTTTGTAGTCCATTTGGTTTGTGGTGTTCTGTCATTGCAGCCTGAATGAACTATAAAAAGGGTCATAGAGAGAGGCATGAACAAATTGGTAGTCACTACTGAAATAATGTAATAGTTGAAATAGTTAGATCATATTAAATTGGGTCATCTTTGGACATTTATATAAATGAGAATAAACTTGTTTGCTGAGCAGCTAATAAATCAAATGCAGTGGACCACTATTAAAGGGTTTGCAAAGACTATGCACTTCTTTTTAAAAGAATTCCAGAAGCCATTTATGCATTTAATGTGACACAAATTTTAAATTTTATTGACCTAACTGCAGATGAATAGGTAAGTTTAAATATAGGTGTAACCAATCATATTTTCTTGCTCTACAATTTGTGAGACACACAGAGAACTAATATAAACTAAGTTAGATCAATGTTAGATAGATAAATAAAGGTTATAGAATTGCATCTGCCTTTTTTCTTCACTTCTTGATTTGCTGCTGATCAATATTTTATATTTCTTTGAAAAACTCCAGTGTTCTTTCATAAATTTGCCCTCAACTTAATGTATATGTGTATGTTCAGGTGATTAGAATGGTTTGCAATATTGTTCTGAAGCTTACAGTCAAGAGTATTATTCAAGGCAATGACTTCAGTTAGGATCCAGAGAGTGGTATATCTGATTCTGAAACCTGTACCCTCTCCACTGAATCATGCTGCCTCATCGTTTTGTAATGGCTTTTAGGGGAATTGAACTTACTCTGCTCTGCCTTTCTCCTAGGCTTTGTTTCTGAGGAGAGAGATGCAAGTAGAATTACGGAAGACTGTTAGGGCAGATAAACTGATTGTAATATTTGATAAAGAAACGATGGATCAGAATTTATGGTCTTGCTCTTACAAGTTTGCTACTACCTATTTTTTTTTTTTGAATCTTTGCTTTCTAACAAGTAGCCTCTACTATGACACTCACAACTTTGTTTCTTTCCATACAAAGACTCTTCATCATACTTATTAAAGTTTGTTTTATTAGTATTATTATGCTTTAAAGTTATGCAGTTCTTTTTTCTTTCCCTGTAAGTTGCTACATTCTATGAAAGTCCAAGAAGGAAATATACTGGGAAAGCTTGTTAAGGGAATAAGAGAATAGCCATTTAAATTCAATTAGCTGATGATAGTATCTAGAAAGTTTACTGGGTATACTTTTCAAAGATATTTGACCAGGAACCAGTTTTCAAAGGTACAAAAATTCTAGTTATCTTTAGAAAACACCAGGGCAGCTAACCCAGGGTGGGATACAGTGTTACTGCTACAACTTCACCAGGCCACGGGTAATACAATAAAAATTAAATCTCTTTCCCTGAAAATGGATACAATTTGCAAAAGTTCTTACTCAACTCTTTATATAAAACATATATTAATTACCATTTTCTTTCATTAAGAAGAAAGTAAAGGCCTCAACATAGTACAATAGCAATTAATTCTAGCAATGAAAATGTTTAAATTCATGACTCTACCCTGTTTTTATAATCTTTAGAGTATTGTCATACAGAATATTTTTCAGCCTGAAAATATTACTGAATGAGTGTTTCTGCCATGGGATGATGTATTGAACTCATTTCTGCAGCCTTAACAACAACGCCTAGCACTGAGAGTTGTATATCTCATCAAGAATCCCCTTTCAACAATCCCATGTAGCACTTGCTCCAATTATCGTAATCGATAATGTCATAAAGTGAATAATTCCAAAAGTCAAGATGGCTTTTTGACATATCAATGTCCAAAACATATCAATAGCTCAACAGTAAATATTTATTGAATATGTACTCTATGTTAGAAGAGTACATCAGCATTATCTAAGATAAATACTGTAAAAAACAAAAACAGGGTGTGGTATAAAATACACACGTTTGAAACTACCCCAGACCTACTAGGCAAACTTGTGGAATCATATCCCAGCATAGCTTTCAATCTTTGTCTTCTGAATTCAGAAATTTTACTGCATTTTTCTCTCCTTCATTCGTGAAATAGGGATAGAAGCAATCCTTCTCCTCATATGCATTGTAAAGCTCACAGTGTAGAAGTCAAAGGTTAGCTTTGTTACTATCGTGTTCTTCAAAAGCATCATCATGATCATCATCAACAATCTTATGTTTCACAAGTACTGGAAATCTTAATATCACTTTGCTTCTAACAAATTCTTTTCTCTTTATTTTTACACAAATTAAAATGAAGTATTTTCTTTTTAAAAACCAATTCATTACATTGTATGGATGTTTATTTCTATTACAAATATCAACATATATATCAGAAACAATCCATTCAAATAACAGAGTAATACATGAAGGAAGTATAGTCCTTAGAACATAGAAAACTCTAGAGGAAATTACTGAGATATTATTTGTACTTAAAAACATATAAATCAAATTTCTGAAAGGCATAGATAATATTGAAATTTATTATTTAATATTTGTAAAAACTTAAACTCATACATTTTGGTAAAACTACATATATTTTTTATGAATAATACAGGAATCTATGTGGAAATTTCCATATCTACTTCCTCAGATTCCCTGTGAGGCAAGAATCAGTACACTATTAAACAATTCATTCACTCAAACTAATGAACCTTCATTTCTCAGGACAATTGGAACACTGTCAGGTGGCTTATTTTAAAATAATCGTAAAAGTACTCAGTAGGTTTAGAAATAATTAAAATGACTGTATTGTTCCTATGTTACAGTATAATGGGTTGTTAGAGGAGCCCAGAGGATTAGAGATTGATATTGGAAGACTTTAATTAGTTTTTTCAAATTGGAAAAAATGTACATGTATAAAAATTTATTTTTCTGTTAAAATATTGTTTGTGATGTATAGCTTATAATGTATTTCAATACAATTATTTGAGATTGTGAAAAATTAAAGATCTTACCTTATATTAAATTACAAAAACTCCTTTCTCAAATTATTTTGTGTATGAAATACTATATACAGAATTAATTTGAATCAATTTAGTACACTAATGATGTCATTTTGATTTTGAAATAGTTTTCTTCTCATTCCTCTGAATCAAATAAATTCAATATTGAGTACACCATTAAATGCAATAAACCCAACATGAACTCCTTCTAAATATTTGGGAATGGATTTCACATAAATTTATTATATAAATGATGAGGCCTTTGTGAATCAGGAATTGTTCCTGACGCTGTATACCACCATGCAGAAGACATATAACAGATGATCACAGAAACATGTAATGGAGGACACCAGGCAGGATATAGGAAAATATAGCAGGGATATCTTAGTTGTCAGGTGATACAAGAATTGTAGTGATACTACAGAATTTAAACTTTTAAGAATGTTTAATAAAACAATGATTCTGAATATTCTTTTTAAAACTTCTTTATTTTAAAATAATGTTAAAGTTACAGAATACTAGAAATGGTAAGAGAGTTTCAAATATGTTTCACTCAGCTTTCCTTAATGTTAAAATTTTACATAACTATAATAATATATATAACTATAATAAGCAAAATGAAGAAAGTAACATTGGTACAATTCTATCAACTGAACTGCAGAGTTTATTCAGATTTACCAGTTTTTCACTAATGGATATTTCCAGGATTCAAGCCAGGATTCTGCACTGCATTTAGTTGTCATGGCTCCTTAGTTTCCTTCAGTAGGTAAGAGTTACTCAGTCTTACCTTACATTTCATGAGGAAACATTTTTCAATAATGTTCAGGTGGTTTTTAGATTGTTGCTTAAATTGAGTTTCTTTGAATTTCTCATGATTACACAGAAGATAAGGATTTGGAGGAAAGATATCAGAGAGGTGAAATGCCATCCTCATCACATATGGAGGACACATGATGTCAATATGTGTTATCACAGGTGATGCTGATCTTGATCACTTGATTATGGCAGTATCTACCGATGTTCTGCAGTGTAAATTTACCACTTTCCCCTTTTCATACTCAATTCATTAGAGGTGAATTTCTATATTCAACCCACACTCAGGAAGGGACTTCAGCTCCATCTCTTGGAGGGAGAATAATCTGAGAAGTTTGCACGTATGTTAAAATCGCCATAGTAATTACAGACTATATCCGAAAGTATGCTGTAGGTTATGCAAATATTTTATTTCTCTTTAGAATTTTAGTCAGTAATTTTAGAAGTCATCAGTGGATCTTGCCTATTGCAATTATTGCTGTAATTCTACAATCCTGATCTATTTCTCTCAATACTTACACATTCATGTATTGAATTTTTTTCTGTAAAGAAGAGTTGTCCCTTCTCCACCACTTATTTATTTACTCATGGATATTTATTTTATTTCTTGGATTATAATGAATGCCATTTTTGAACATGATTTTATACACTTTTATATTATTTGTATTTGCTTTCTTTGGACAGCAAGATTGGTTATATTCCATTACTATTTCTGAAAATACTTCTTATATGTACTTTTAATTAGCTTTTTTCTGCTGTTATCTAATTAGTAACAAATACTGAAAGAAAACTGCAATTAATTTTTCAAAGGAACTATAAATATGTAATTGCTATTTATTATATCCATTATGGTTAATACATATGATAAAAGTATATATAAAACATTCATAATCAAATAATCAAATATCAGTCTCACTATTTTCTTTAAAAATCAATCTTCAAATATTGGGGTATCTTTCTCCCTTGAAAACTTCAGCTAATAGAATTTTAATGGAATATCTTATCATATAATAATCCTGATATTGATCACTTAAAATCTAATAAAATGGAAAATTTTAAAATCTAGAATAAATTTTGGTATTTGTTACTTTGCATTGTAATTTTATCTTGCTGTTTTGTCTAATATATTCATTCAATCCTGAGGTAATATTAGTTGTTAAATAAATGAAAGTTGGTAAAAAGTTAGATAATCACTCAAAAATAAGGAGAATGTATATTGAAATGCAGGATGGTATACAGCATGTTCTAGTGACATTTATTACTCTTGCAGCTAAAAGTGAGTTCTGGCTCATGTAATTCAAAACATTTATGGCACATTCTTTCATTCCCCATCCTGCCACATCACACTCTCCCCTACTTCCTCCTAAAATTCTTCAGTGTCTATGGCCAATATTGTAGTAGAGATTGACAAACAAAAAGTGAATACATGGATAAATAACTATTCCTTCTCCTTTTCCAGAATTATTTCAAAATATCATATCTAATAATTGAAAAGAAGATTTGGAACCTATAAGGAGTAGAATATAGCATTCTGAAAGAAAATATCAAATATTTATTTTCCTTGAAAGCTTGATAATGTCTTTGTGTTTACAAACTAAGGTAAGTTTGGGGAGAACAGTTGACTGAGGATTATATCTTACTCATTTCATAATATCAAGTACGGTGAAAATTTGAAATGAACGTGTATATCATTTATAACATTGCAGCCTTTAATGTTTTAAATTAGTGTCAAAATTACAGACAATGAACATGCATATTGTCTCTTCTAACAGGTTATCTCTTGAAAAGGCTTTCTAAAGCTTAAAATACTTTGGACTTGGAGTTTTTATATTAGAGTTCTATGACTTGGATTTTTGGGGGCTTGGTTGTCATTCTATATGAAAGATACTTATTCTGAATCCAGCACTCACAGATAGGCTGTCTGTTCCCCAGAGTTAGGAAGCCCTAGTCCAGCGTGTGGTTAGAGCTTATCAGTTTTATTACTATGTCCTATGGGAAAATGTACATTTTCTTATTTATAGGAAAGACAGTAAAATGCTCTTGATTTTAGAGAAATCAGTTCTCATATAAACATGTACAGATAAGATTCTCTCTCAGGCATAATTTGTCTAAAATAATAACCACAACATTTGTGTGAAAATTTTTTGTAACAGCTTTCATGAATAATCCAGTAATACTTTGTTTTGTGAGCCCCCAGCTAAATTGGGGTTCTGGTGTCCGAGCAGCTAGCAACCCTTCCCTAAGGAAAATGAAAAGGGACTCGATGTGAGTGCTTACAGTGTGCCTTTCACAGGGTACTGCTTTGATCTGGCACCCAGCCTAACATGCAGTTATACAACCCATGACCGGGGACCCCTCACATGGCAAACTTGTTTATCCTGGCAGATGCCCCTGTGGCTCTTGACTGACCCATGTTCGGCTTATGTCTGCCTGACCATTGCTCTGAAGCTGAGAGTCTGACGCTGTGTTACTCCTAGCATCCTGGCGATATCTCAGCCTGGGGCATCCCCTAGTTCTTTAGATGGATGCCACAAATTTGATGCACCGGCACAACAGGAAACAAGTTCAAAGATTTTACTTTCAGATTCTGGGCAAGGAGGGTCCAGTGAGTCACAAAGGCAGTACTTGGTATCTAGGTCATATGAGGCAGGAATGAGGAGTCAGTAGGGAGAGAGTAGAGCATGTGGCAATTGGCAGTATAGAGAAGGGAACAGAGTGTGGGTCACTTGAAGAGTCTAGGCAAATGCCTGAATGGTCAGCTTAAAGGAAGCTGTGGGAAAGCAAGGAGCCCAGTCAACTAGACCAGAGAGATACTTGTAAGTTCTTAAGTCTGCCCACTGGCTTGAGATATTTGAGTGAGGCATAGAATTAAAAACTGTGTCAAGAGAGACTGAGCTCTGCTTGAGGTACAACAAAGACAAACCTGTTTTCAAAATGAATGCTGAAACAACATAAAATTATAAGAATCTACTACATGCTTGTATCAAATGCATATAAAATTCAAAAAGATACATGTGAAACAAAGTTTACATGAAAGAACAACCAAATTCAAGAGGATCCCATTGATATTTGTCTGTGGATGATATTTGCTTGAACGTATACATGACTAGTGGTAATTTATTTGGCTTGAGGTATTTTTAAGTACTCCAAAACTTAAAGAAAGAAAGAAACCCCGTAAAATGGGAGAAAATTAGAAGTTCAATTTCCATTACATTTTAGACAGTATGGTAAAATAATACCCTATTAAATTATTAAATTTTGAGGTAAATTATTTAAATATTTCTGAAATAATTTTAAATGTATAGAGTTTTAAAAATTGTCTTTGACCATGTACTCCTTGAAAACTAATAAAAGTTATAGGCTCCTTCTCCAAAAAAAATGCTGTTCATAACCGGATATTCACACACAATAACATGTACAATTTTAGACATTAGCTCATCCTTTGAACCCCACTCATGGAATCATAGCTTTTCGTATCTTCTAGGTTATACCATTTTGTTTTAAAGGAATGAAGATAACAAAATACTAGAGAAAGTGAACAGATAATGAGGAAGAAGAAAATAATAAAAGTTCTGACACTAGTGTTTGAAATACCATATTCACAGAAAATATGACTTTACTAGGATTTTGAGACCTATAAAATCCTTTCTTTAATAAAGTCTATACCTAATATTATACCCTGGAAAGAAAAGAATGTGAAAAGAAATTGACAGGACACTATCATTGGAAGAGTGTTACATTCCCCAGGTACTTCACTGACATATAATAATGTGAAGTCAATATAAAGTCTTAAAATCAGATGAGAACTGTTGATTTCAAGGAAGGGATGAACTTGACTGAAAAGCTATCACTGAAAACTAAGAAAAAAAATAATAATAAACACTTCAGTCACAAAAGACAGGACAGGAGACAATGTGTTTAATTATTTTCTGAATTGACTCTTTGTCGGTGTTATTAATTCATATGTATCTCTTGATGATCCAAGCTTTTGTATTAATAACACTATGGATCAATGTATATGCTCTATCTGACATTTAATAACAAGACATAACATAACAAAAATACAAATAATACCTCAATGAGATTTCTTCATTTATCATTTTTTAAAAAAAATTATTAACCTCATAATAATTCATAGTCTTCAAAAGTCCAAAGAAATGTTAATAATGTAGAAACAAAACCAAGTCAGGCTAAAAAGAAAATAATTTATTTCCAGAGAAATAAGCATAAAATAAGCAAAATCACAAAATATCAGTAACAGTAAAATAATTACAAATAAGGTGCTAAGATATTCCTTTTGTATAACAATTCAATTTTAGATGACCTCAATATACATTTTAGTTTGACTCTTCTTAGAATTATAGAGATGTATAAGAGATAAATATGAAAATGATTTACTGCTTTCTCATTCAGGTAAGTATACAAACCAAAGCTTTAGCTCTATAATTTAAATAATTCTAGCTGTGCATTTCTTATTTTCATCTTCTTGAAGATCTAAAAATACACTTTTCACACAGAATTTTTCTTTATGGATTGCCTAGAGAGACAATCTGTTGATCTCCACAGGCCTATTCCTAGCTACTCTTTTTAAAGAAAGTAATAGAGTAGCTGTTTGAATGACCTCTTTATTATTTGTTTAAATTTTATTTCTTCCTCATACATTTGACTAACTTTTACATTTTTATTTTTTCTCCACTGATTGATAGAACCAACTTGATCCCCTCCAGAGGCCACCAAAGCTAATTCCTGACTCAACAGCACCCTGATTTTGCTTTAGTGCTGTCCAATTAGCAGAAAAATCACCAAATTATGATGTATTGAAACACAATTCAGAAAACGACTAATTCACTCAAAGCAGATTTGACAAAAGAAAATTTCCTGAATCAATGATTCTCCAAATAAACATTCACTGAATTATTGAGATATTTTCTAGAGCTTTTGGTTTGCCGTAGCTGCAGCTGCTCTGCAACAGCCTTTGCAAGGTTTATTAGCCCAGCTTGGTTGATTTTCAGATTTGTGTGTTCTACATGTGGGAAAGCTCCAGGTTGATATGTGAAGAGTGGATTTTAAGACACTTGTTTCTGCTCTCTTATTCTTTGCTCTTACACCTTCTCTGCATTAACTTTGCTTGTGCGACACCATCTCTCCAGTGGCCAGGTTTTCCCCTGCTCCCATATGTCTGTATTATCGGGATTCTCCAGAGAAACAGAAATATGTATATATACACATATATGTATGTACACATGAACATATATATAATTTTATATATTATTATATATAATTTTATATGTAATCTTTATAAATAATTTTTACATATTTCCATATATAAATATATAATTATATGTATATGTGTGTGCATATATATATATATATATATATACATGAAGTCAAAGAGGCTGAGAAGTCCCAAGATCTGCAGTTGGCAAACTGGAGGCCAGAGAAGGAGTGTCGACAATGTAAGTTCCCATTTGAGTCTGAAGGCAAGAGAAGACCATGGTCTTAACTGGAAGTTGGTCAGGCAGAAAGAGTAAATCTCTATTACTCAACAATTTGTTCTATCAGGCCTTTAACAGATTGAATGGGGCCCACTCACATAGGAAGGAAGCAATCTTCTTTATTCAGTCTGCAATTTAAACATTAATCTCATCCAGAAACACCCTCATAGACACACTGAGAATATTTCCCCAAATATCTGGGCACCTCGTGGTCCAGTCACATAGACACATAGAATTAACCATCACAATGTCTTTCTGCTCCTGCCTGCAAGCTTTAATACACTGAACAGAAACTGAACGAGGATAGAAAATTTGTTGGGAGAGTGAGTAACCTTGAAAAGTAAAGAATATTTAAGATCATATAGGCTTTTCTGTAAGATTCTTTCATGTTCTTTCCTCACAGCATCAGAGGAAGAATATTTAAGATGATATAGGCTTTTCTCTAAGATTCTTTCATGTTCTTTCCTCATAGCATCAGAGGTTACAAAAATCTGACAAGTAGCCTTCTGAATCTAGAAATAAGTCATCAGTAGAAAGAAGTGCCTCTCTACATCTTGGGGAGAAGGGTTTATTTCAGTCTACTTTGGAAGCAGAAGTTATTAAACATAATGAATGCTTAAGAAAGTTCTCTGGAACATTGCAAAG
The DNA here is from genome assembly GCF_000001405.40 of Homo sapiens. NCBI lineage: Eukaryota > Metazoa > Chordata > Mammalia > Primates > Hominidae > Homo > Homo sapiens. The sequence goes on along the minus strand of NT_187555.1, from coordinate 48,333 downwards.
AAATAAAAGAATATAGGCTGGTCACAGTGGCTCAATGCCTGTAATCCCAGCACTTTGGGAGGCCAAGGTGGGCAGATCACGAGGTCAGGAGTTCAAGACCAGCCTGCCCAACATAGTGAAACTCCATCTCTACTAAAAATGCAAAAAATTAGCCGGGCATGGTGGCGGACACCTGTAATCCCAGCTACTCAGAAGGCTGAGGCAGGAGAATCGCTTGAACCTGGGAGGCGGAGGTTGCAGTGAGCTGAGATGACACCATTGCACTCGAACCCAGGCTATAGTGTGACACTCTGTATAAAAAAAGAAAAGAATAGAATAAAATATCCAATAAGTCCAGAACACCAGCATGATCCTGTTGCCTGCCAAGTAGCTTTTTAAGCCACCTGGCTACATCTTTCTGCAGTACTTCCTTCTTTAGCAAGGACAGCATCCTCACCCCATCTTGTATAGACAAAAATAAAAATGGTATATGTCAACAGAGGGGTCACTGAAAATTTATTATTTACTAGAAATTTAAATACCATAAGCATTCCCATATACATGATTTTTATTCATGGATCATCCACAAATCTTGACTCTAAGGATTGCTATATATAACCTAAGCTTAGAATAAAATGAATAAATGTCAGTAGAGTGTTCATCAAACATTTTCTCCATCATTATCAAAATAATTAATTATGGGCCACAACCAAAATATATTTAGAATTATTTGATATCTGACAGAATAATGCCAATGACAAAAATGCAATATGAGCAGGAATTTTATCAAATTTTTATTTTTTATTTTTATTATTTATTTTTATGAGTACATAGTAGGTGTCTATACATATGAGATACATGAGATATTTTGATACATGCATACAATGTGTAATAATTACATCAGGATAAATGGAGTACCTATCACCTCAAGCATTTATCCTTTCTTTCTGTTAAAGACAATCCAATTATATTCTTAATTATTTAAAAATGTACAATAAAATTAGCCAGGTGTGGTGGTGGGCACCTGTAATCCCAGCTACTTGGGAGGCTGAGGCAGGAGAATCACTGGAACCTGGGAGGCAGAGGTTGCCGTGAGCCCAGATCATGTCATTGCACTCCAGACTGGATGACAAGAGTGAAACTCTGTCTCAAAAAAAAAATACAAAACAAAACAACAACAACAACAACAACAAATTACTGTTGATTATAGTCACCCTCTTGTGCTATCAAATACTGTATCGTATTCATTTTATCTAAGTATATTTTTGTATCCATTAACCATTTAACCATCCCCACTTCCCCCCACTCCCACTACGCTTCTCAGCCTCTGGTAACCATCCTACTCTCTATCTCCATGAGTTCAATTGTTCAAATTTTTAGCACCCACAAATAAGTGAGACTATGTGAAGTTCATCTTTCTGTGCCTGGCTTATTTTACTTAACATAATGACCTCTAGCTCCATCCATGTTTTTGCAAATGACTGAATCTCATCCTTTTTAATGGCTGAATAGTACTCCATTGGTATATGTACCACATTTTCCTTATCCATTTGTCTGTTGATGGACTCAGGTTACTTCCAAATCTTGACTATTGTTAACAATGCTGCAGTAAACATGTGAGTTCAGATATCTCTTTAATATACTAGTTTTCTTTGTTTTGAGTATATCCCTAGCAGTAGGATTACTGGATCATATGTGATATGGTTTGATCTGTGTGCCCTACCCAAATCTCTTGTTGAATTTTAATCCTCAATGTTGGAATAGGACCTGGTAGGAGGTGATTGGATCATGGGGGCAGTTTCTTATGATTTAGCCTCTTGGTGCAGTTGTGGCAATAGTGAATTCTCGTGAGATCTGGTAGTTTAAAAGTATGTGGCACCTCCCCCTTCTCTCTCTTTCTCCTATTACAGCCATGTGAACTGTCTTGCTCCCGCTTTGCCCTCGGTCATGATTGGGTGCTTTCTGAGGCCTCCCCAGAAACAGAAGCTGCTATGCTTCCTGTACAGCCTGCAAAACTGTGAACCAATTAAATCTCTTTTCTTTATAAATTTCCTAGGCTTGGGTATTTCTTATAGCAAGAATAAACTAATACAATAGGGTAGTTCTATTTTTAGTTTTTTGAGGAATCTCCAAACTCTTCTCTATAGTGGTTGTACTAATTGACATCCCCACCAACAGCGTAAGAGGGTTACTTTTTCTCCACACTCTCTCTAGCATTTGTTATTGCCTGTATTTTGGATAAAAGCCATTTTAACAGGAGTGAGATGATATCTCATTAGTTTCTAGTTATTTTTCTATGATAGTCAATGATGTTGAGCACTTTCTTATACACTTGTTTGCCATCTGTATGTCTTCTTTTGAGAAGTGGCTATTCAGATCATTTGCCCATTTTTAAAGCAGATTATTGGATACTTTCCTATAGAATTGTTTGAGCTCCTCATATATTTTGGATATTAATCCCTTGTCCAATGTATAGTTTGCAAATATTTTCTCCCATTTTGTGGGTTGTTTCTTCTCTTTGCTGAATGATTTCTTTGCTGTGCAGAAGCTTTTTAACTTGATGTGATCCCATTTGTCCATTTTGCTTTGGTTGTCTGTGTTTGTGGGGTATTATCAATAAATTGTTGCCCAATCCAATGTCCTGAAGAGCTTCCCCAATGTTTTCTTGTAGTACTTTCATAGTTTGAGGTCTTATACTTAAGTTTTTAATCCATTTTGATTTGATTTTTGTATATGGCGAGAGGTAGGGGACTAACTTCATTTTTCTGCATATGGATATCCAGTTTTCCCAGCACTGTTTATTGAAAAGACTGCATTTCCGCAGTATATGTTGGGGGACCTTTGTTGAAAATGTGTTCACTGTAGATGTATGGATTTGCTTCTGGGTTCTATATTCTATTTCATTGGTCCATGTGTCTGTTTTTATGGCAGCACCATGCTATTTGGTGAAGAAAGTCATTGATACCAAGTTTTTAAATAGCAACAAGATCTAGCCTTTTACTTCCTAACCTTGCCTCACTCATCTCATCATAATGCTCGTTCTAAATTAAACTATTAAACACACTACAAATAAAATATAGATAATAATAGAGCATTCCTAATTATGCTATTTTTAACAAATGACATAATCTATTTAAAGCCATCCAGTACACAATAGATTTCAAAAATATTAGGTATTGTTGCTGTTTCTGTTGTTGTTTTATATTATTCCCAATCACACCTAAATTTGTCTATACTCAATCTTGCATATTTGAAATTTTCAAACTTTCTCCTATGGACCTCATTGATGGAAGCAATACATACTTTGGGTAGGTAAATATGTATTAAAGGTCAAACCCCATATTTATTCTATAAAAGTATCTTAACAAATAGTTGCTGAATGAGTAAATGAAAGGGTAAAATAATTTTTTGTGGAAAGCCATAGTCTGCCAATCCCTGTAAAAAGTGAAATTTCTAAGCATCTGTTTTCTTAATTTCTGGGAGACAATTTTTGGTGAATGTCTTGTGAGTCTGTATGTCTTCCATGCACAGGCATTTTAACCTGTGCATGAAAGACATACAGATTCAGGGCTATGTTTTCAAGTATGCTTGTATAGCATGCAATCTCGGAAATTGGATAATGTCTCCCTCCAGTGAAGAAGATAAATTTGTTTGTTCACCAGGACAAGATTCAAGAAGGTTTGCATGCAGCCACTTTAAAGGATTAGGGTGTTGCTAGCTAAGGTTTCCTCACGGTGATGGATATTCACCGCTTGGGCAGCATTTTTCTGAGTCCTGAGTCACTCTGTGCTCTGCATTACTCTTTGAGACATGGGGAATAAGGAGAACCAAAGCAAACATAAAATGCATGCTGCCTGCTATGTCATGATGAGTAAGGTCCTTTGTCTCCAACCTGAGAGTCTCATATCTTCTGCCAGTGTTTATGAAACTGTGGCAGCCTAAGTCATTACACTGTAACCAGGGTAAAATCTCAGACCTAAGTTTTTGACATTGGTAAACATTTTATATAGTAAATCATGAAGGAGATGAATTTTAAAAGTGTGTACTTTGATTTACAGGTGTTTTCAACATGAATATTGACTTTCAAAGTTAATGACATCTGGAGTTTCAGCTGAGGAGGAAAAATATTTCCATGTATTCAGTCATTCAATTCATATTTTTATACCTTATAGGCCAAGCATGTTACTAGCGTCTTAGAACACTATATTACTTAGAATAGCTAAAAATAAGCCGTGCTTAATAAATTTTAACCCCAAAATATCAGCGATTAACAAATATGTAGCCTCATTCTACATATTTACAAAGGAACCCAGATTAATAAACATTCTGTTATCTCACACACACGTACCCCATGGTGGTCGTTCCACGGTAAAACAAGATTATTTGCTGATTCAGCTCAGAAATTAAAAGTATCATTTAGATATTATAGTCCAGAAACAGTCACATGGCTACACTTTACCACATAAGCTCTATAATCTTGTATGTGTCCAGAAAGGAGGAATAGAAAATAAGCTTTGGTACACCCACAACATTGTACCATAGATTGAATGAAAAAAAGATGTGCTTCTTGCATTAAAATTATAATAGATTTAATGAGGAACCCAAAGTAAAAACCAGGAAAACAAAAAAGGTAAATATAATAAATAATAACAAATTTTGTAATAGCCGTACTCCCTGAAAATGTATAATCCAACTCAGTGTGGGGTTAGAGATATCTTCTCATTACAGGAGGCATCTAAAATGAGACACACAAGATCACCATATATTAACTAGGAGAAAGAGAATGTGGTAGATTCTTAAAGCCTCATTAATAATATGTTTCACTGTTCTAGCATCTCATGCAACTAACTAACTGATCAGGTATGCCTAGCCTTGATAACTTCCATTTCCATCCTCTAATAAAGAAGACACACATATCAAACAACACAAGTCCAAGATTAAAGAAGTTGTTATTTGTAAAATATATATGCTTAGAGACACATGGAAATCACTGGACAAATTGAGTATTTTCAGACTGATTGGCATAGTTTCGATCTGGAACAGGATATTTGTTATTATTCCTAAGAGGTACATCCGCCAAGCCTGAGGAACAATTTCCTTGTAGAATTTATGTCAATATTTATTCATAACAAGTTTAAATTCACAACTAAACCCAGCATTTATAAAAGCAAATCATATCTCTACTTAGAGAGTGGTTGGGGTCCTAATCATAGCTGTGTAATAATGGTTGATGGGGATTGTCTCTGAATGTGGATCTGCCAGCTTTACCCTTCTGGAAGTATGAGAGATGAAAACAGTAACATCAAAGTTCTTCCATTTAGCTTAGGACTCAGTGACACAAACTTCTGTCTTTTGTTTCTTTGAGTAGTTTTTAGCACAAATAATCTGAGGATAAAGTAGAAAAAAATAAGTACAAGTTAAAGAATCTATCATTTAAAAAGTTAGCCATAAATAAAAACAAATTGATCTGAAGCTAAAATCAATCTAAATATTAATGTTAAACCATTATTTTCCGTTTCTTATTCGATCTTTTAAAAGTATTAAAGTCATTTAAAATGAAAAGGCCACTTTTTAAGAATAATTTGCAAAACAGCAGTTTTGTGTCAGTTTCTTTTATAAAAAGAGGTAATTTTAAAATAATCTTCTTTTAACTAGTCTATCCTAGTTTCCATGGTGTCTACTGGGGCAAAGTGACATGCCAATTCAAAATTGACTTCTAAAGGGCTAAATAAAGAAATGTTCCAAATGAACAATGAGAATTGCTTAGTAAATGATAATTGCTAATGACATTGAACAAACAGGTTAATTGACATTGGGAATTTGAGACATTTTGTGTGTCATTTTCTGATAAAGGTGATAATATTCCTCATTTTTTCCTTAACAGTATTCACTATCCTGCCATATGGGAGGCAATTTTCCTAGTCTGAATCTCTCCTTCTGTGCACTGAGCTCATTTTCATATCAGATAACTCTGAATGAAGACAGAGGTCCATGCCAAACAGTAATGAAAGAAAGATCTACTACTCCTCTGGGCGGGGGAAAAAAAGAGAGGGAACATTTATGGCTGTTGGATTTATTCCTAGTGTTCAACATAGGCTGCCTATTTGATATCACAACACTCAAATTGATAGCAAAAATTTAGAAACTTACACGTAATGTGAGCTCTCCCTGTACCCCAAGTTGCTCCTCTTCTAGTCTTTTCTGTTCAGATAACAGTTCATCTGCTTGTACCCAACTGCTCAAGCCACAAAACCAGGAGTCACTATTGAAGACACTTAACTCAATTTTAACACCCATCAACTTTCACCAAATTCTATTAATTTACCTCTCAATATATTTCAAATCTAACTTTCTTAATCTCTCTGCACCCTAGTAAATCTCTTCTGTAGATTATCACCGAACAGTCATGCATGGTTTAACAATGGAGATGTATTCTGAGAAATGTGTAGTGAAGTGGTTTCATCATTGTGCAAACATCATAGATTGGGTGTAACAAACCTAGATGGTATATCCTGCTACACACCTAGGCTAGACAGTATAGGCTAGATACTATAGCCTATTGCTCCTATGCTACAAATCTGTTACTGTCTTGAACACTGTTGACAAATGCAATGCAAATGTAAGTATTTGCATATCTAAAAATAGAAAAGATATGGTAAAAACACGGTATAAAAGATTAAATAAAATGGTCCACTTTTATAGGGGAGTCTCCATCATAATCTTATGGAACCACTGTCTTTTATGCAGGTCCTCATTAACTGAAATGTTGTTATGTGGCACATGACTGTATGTTTTAAATAAAGCTGGGCTTCTCTTTGTGTCACTCAGAAGGATAGTGTAAAATGCAAATACAGCTGGCTTCCAAAAATCTGTTTGGGATTTCTTTTGCATTTAAGAAAATATAGAAAATCTATAACCTGTTTTCCAAGGTTCTGCATCATTTGCTTTTAATCTTCATTTCTAAGCTTGTTTCTTGTCTCTTTCATTAGTTATTGAACACTCTTTCCCTCTTTCTTTGTCTGCCTAAGTCTATGAAACCAAATGTAATTTTTTGCAGTGAGATCTTCTCTAACCTTTCCCTTTTATTATATTTATCTGAAAATTCAATTTTTAATATAAAATTTACTAAACATTAATAATTATGAATTTGATTTTCTATTTTTAAAATTAAATATCATTTTCCCCACTAGGTTATAAGCCATACATGGACAGGAACGATATTTAATTCATTGAACACCTTATATCTGTAGTCTATTCAGAAATTAGAAAAAAAATTTAGAATAAATGAGCAACAACTTTTAAGTTTTATTTTGTTTTTGTATTGTATAACTGCAATCAAGATAAAGAAAGCTGTGCATCCAATCTATGACTTTATACCTACGTTTTCTTTTCTTTTCTTTTTTTTCTTTTTCTGAGATGGAGTTTCACTCTATTGCCCAGGCTGGAGTGCAATGGCATGATCTGGGCTCACTGCAACCTCTGCCTCCTGGGTTCAAGTCATTGTCATGCCTCAGCCTCCTGAGTAGCTGGGATTACAGGAGTGTGCCACCACACATGGCTAATTTTTGTTTTTTTAGTGGAGACGGGGTTTCACCATGTTGGCCAGGCTGGTCTCGAACTGCTGACCTCAGGTGATCTGCCTACCTCAGCCTCCCAAAGTGCTGGGAATACAGGCGTGAGGCACCATGCTCGGCTATACCTGCGTTTTTTATTAATATTTATCCTTGAGTTACAAACCTATTTAAGTTCAGTATCCCCTTTACTTAATGAACAGACTTTCATGATCACTTTATTCAATCAAAGAAATCGCTATAGTTGTTTGGTCAGAAGCCATTTATTTATTTTTAATGTTTTTGATAGATAATTCATTTACATAGCTTCAAAGTTTTTATTTTGCACAATGAAAATTCTCCCTCTCATGCTTGGCTCCCAGACAGTTTTCTTCCAGTTGACAACTCGTCTTACTGGTTTGTGGTAGTTGTATTGCAGATATTCTATATGGTTACATGAAAAATTGTTTATAATGCCTCCCCTTCTTTCTTTTTCAAATTTTAGCTCATGAATATTCATTCTATACCTTGACAATGTATCATGGAGGTGGTTCTAACTAAACAAGATGGCTACTTTTGTACACTGAAAAATCTACTGTGTAAAATAGTATTTCCTAATAGCTGTATTAAATATCCTATTCTGTGATTTTAAAACATGTCCTGCTATTGTATTATCAGTAAAAGTGCTGTAAGAAATAACTATAAGAAGCCCCTGTAGGAAAATGTTTAGAAAAATAAACTGAGAACAGAGAAATGAGCTCCTATATTTAGATGAGGGTTCAAGACAGGTAATGGTAGTTGTAGACCAGGAAAGAAAATGTAGAAATAAAGCAAACTGGATGTGAAAGGAGACTTGACCTAAGTTGAGCAGGATTGAAAATATCAGGAAATTTTAAAGGTGAGCCGGACTTCAGCCTTCTGTATATGTGCCTATATGTGCATCTGTGAACTTCTATATGTGTAAGGAAGGTAGAATACACTATACCTAACATACATAGTTCATGGATTAAAATTCAACTTATAATGAATAGAGTATTGTTTCTTTTTATTAAAAATGAATCTTAAAATATGTTTTTAGTAGAAGCTCAAACAATCACTCCATGTGACATCTTAAATTAGCTAATGAATATTTTCTGAATATATTATTACAAATATATAAATTGCTGGTTCGGGGCAAAATGTGAAACCTCAGACACTAATTTAACCTTGGAATAAGAACAGTTAGGTAAAACTCTAATGCCTTCTGGTGCAGCGACTGAGCTGGTACGGTGATTTAACTTGATTGAACAAATTCATCTCTTACAGATGGCAGAATTGAAACTGCTTGAAGTCATTTGGGCTGACAGTATTGAGATAGAAAATATCCTTGAATTTCTATTGTGGAAAATGTGCTGTACACAGAAGTAGCTTTCAAAGCCATTCAATGAAAAGAAGTTGCTCAGTCAAATTCAGGCAGAGTCTATTCCTTTCAAAGTAAAGTACCTATACAAAATTAAGGTCATGATCTACAGAATCAGTCTATGTCAGTACTGATTTGAGACAGCTAGACCTGCTCTAGAGAAGTGGTCTGACTTGGTGATTTGAAACAGGGGAATGGAAGATGGCCGTTCAGGAATCAAGCCTCTGCTGGGGACTTTTATCCTCAGTAGAGGCTTCTTTCAGAGCAATTCGTAGTTTAAAGTGACATAATATGGACCTTAATCACTCTTTCAAATGAAGGTGATTTCCTTAGGTAATTCTAGTTTACCTGCAAGCTGAAACAGCATTCCTAAGCCAAAGCACTAAACTTCTATAAGTGTAACATTTAAAGTTTAGTCTTCAAATTCATAACTATGGTGTGTCTGTAGTGTATCTGAAATTACCATTTTGTTATCTACTTTTATTCTTTGTTACTTTGATATTCTTCTATGGACTAATGTAGGCTTTACTTAATTAGCAATACTGAAAAAGGATTAACACTTTGAATCAAAGCATGAGTAGAAAGATTGTAATTCAGGCTTAGGGTAAGGAGCCACCATAAACTAATAGGAATACCTGTTGATGTCCTACTACACAATCTAAAAGTTCTAATTCCATTTCTAGTGCTATATTCAGTGCCTTACAGCCAAAATGTACATGTAAAATTACTGTGTAAATTAGAAGTTATCATACAACACCTATCATTATTATTACCCTGAGATATCTCATATAAAATTATTACTCAATTACCACTTAAATCCTGGAGATCTTTAATTTACTATTTTCAGTTCATTCAGATCACTACATCACACCCCAGTACCGTATAACACATATGATCAACTGCCTGCTGGGTGTTCCATAGGTAGTTTTATTAAACACATTCAGTTTTGAGTATATGAAATTTCCCCCTAAATCTGGCCCTCCTCCTTTATCCTCTCCCCAACAATTCAGTTGCCTAAGGCAGAGTGATACCCTTGTCTTCTCAGCTTTTACTTATCACTGACATCCAAAACTATTGTCAATAACTATGGATTCTACCTCTGAAGTATCTTTCATAATCGTCTACTTGCATCATCTTATTATTTCATCTCAGCACATCTTCCTTTTTCATCTGGATTACTACAATAGCATTCTACCTGATGTCCTTTTCTACACATGTCTTCCAAACCTTTTTCCTAAATAGAAAGTGATTTTCTATTACCGAACTGTGAATTTGTCATAATGTATCATTTCAATAACGCTTCTTGCCTTACTTGGTTTTATCTCAAAAGCAGAACCTCAAACAAGGATTTACATTTGGGAGGTGATCCCAGAAAACAAATACAGAAGACTGGGGAATAAAGGCAAGGAAGGGAGGTAACCTAAAAAAGAATCTGTTAACAAGTCTGTTGCCTTTGCATGCAACTGAAGCTTTCATTCTCCTAGGAAACTGAAAGATAATGTAGAAAATGCCTTGGAGGTTTTTTCAACTGAGCAGTGAAAACACCTAGTGTTTTAATTATGTATGACTGTGTAATAACCCATTAAAAATGTAGAAGTAGAGACTTAAAACAACTTTATTTTCTTCTGTGATATTTTTCAGTCAACTGGACTCGATTGGATGATTCCTCAGCTTTATATAATTTCCCCTATTGGTTAGGGAAATTTTCAAAGCCAGGCTAGATTTAAGGACAGGACCTCATAAGTGTGAGTATTCTGGGAGATCTGCATTATTGGCGGTGGGGCCAGGGCAGGGCAAGGTATCAATGTAGCACACCAAACAGATTTGATAACAGATTGGATTATCTTTTAATCAAATTTCCATTCATCCAATTTGATAGCTGTTTCTGAGGAAATTAACCTTAGGAACTCAGATTTTCCTGGACAATGGAATAACTTTGTCCTAAGATCAGTAAAGAATAACAAACGCCCCTCAGAAAAGAGTTAAAGGTTTTTGCAGTATACCCATTTAGTGTGTAGAGAAAAATGCTGTGTGAATATGGGCAACCTACTGATACAATCTACAATAAAGCTTAAAACATTTTTAACATGCCTTACAAACTCATTCATGATGTTTTTACCTTTATAGATTTTTCTCAATATGTTGATGAATTGAACCATTGACCACTGTCTTTTCCATGAACTGCTTCTATTTATTTTTATTTTGCTTTTATAGTTACACAAGTTATAAGTCTACAAAAAATTCAACCTGCCTTATAATGGAAAGCAGTAATCTCTGCCTCACTCCTCCTCACTCCTATTTCTATTCACTACCAACAATTATTTTCAAATCATTTGGCTATGTGTAAATTTTTTTCATTACATTTTAAAATAATTAAAGTGTACTGTTGTTGATTTTTACATTATAGATATCACTCACTAACTTCTTCTTCCCCTCACCTCACTTGCCCTTCCCTTTCTATTTAATTTTTGGGTTAAAAATATCCAGTACTTAACATTATTAAAGTTATATAGGCCGAGCGCAGTGGCTCACTCCTGTAATCCCAGCACTTTGGGAAGCCAAGGCAGGTGGATCACTTGAGGTCAGCAGTTCGAGACCAGCCTGGCCAACACGGTAAAACCCCATCTCTACTAAAAATACAAAAACTAGCCAGGTGGGATGGCATGTGCCTGTAATCCCAGCTGCTCTGGAGGCTGAGGAAGGAGAATTGCTTGAACCTGGGAGGAGGAGGCTTCAGTGAGCCAAGATTGTGCCATTGCACTCCAGCCTGGGTGACAAAGCGAGAATCCATCTCAAAAAAAAAAAGTTATGTAAATAACACTAGCAGTTATGTAGTATATTATTTTATTTATTTTTTAAATAAAATCTTGATTTTTTTTGCCCGAAATGAACAAGCATTTTATTTATTCATTTGGTTATTTTTCAATGTACCTATGAATAATGCATCTCCTTGAAATACACTCAAATAAATCAGATCATGTACAGTTTTATCTTCTTCTTGAAAGTGTCCCTTCTGCAGCTCTTTGTTTTCTTGCTCCAATCCTGGCTATGTCATCTACCAGACCATGGCACAGATCTCATCTGTGGACTTTTCGTCAGCCTCAATTATCCAGAAAATTTCTTTTGTCTAATTTCTGAGATGGATCCACTATATCATGCATCACAGATCTTCCTCTGTATTCAAATGTCTCCCTTGTTTTGGTGGAACACAAGCCACAGCCTCCAGTCATGCAATAGAATATTAGTTTCTAATAATTTGTATGCCTGGAAATGTCCTCCAAATCTCACCCATGATTAATAGTTTATCTGGGTATAATTCTATGTAGAAATAATTTTATTTGAATTTTGAAGCTATTTTTACTATTGTCAGATGATAATATCCAAAAATTAAAATATCTTTGTTTTATTTTAGTTTTTGGATGACAGTATCCAACAACTAAAACTTTTTTTTCTTTTTTTTAAGAAACTCTTTCTGAAGTCAATGGCTTTATTTTTGGTTATTGTGGCTGGGTCATTTCAGTATTATAAGCTTTTTCTTTGGTCCTAGTCAGTTTTCCCAAAGAGTAACCTGACAAATTCCTGCATAGGATGCAGAAGCCCAATTTCTAGTGTTCTTAGAGTCTAATTGGAGAAATAATTAATATTATTATGCCACTTAATAAATAGACTTTTATTTAATCCATCTTTAATATAGTACCTATGCTTCCTTCTGCTGAACCTAGATTTTCTGAGTCCCAAATTAATCTGTTACATTAGGTTGAAAGAGAGAAAATTGTCCAAATTTTCAGGCTGGGAAGAGGATCAGGTTGTCTAACTGTTTTGTATAGAGAAATTTAACTAAGGCACCTGTTTTCTACCTTAACTGAACTACTACTCTCAGAGAAAATTTCTGACCCTTTCTGAAGTATATTGTTTAAATCCGTTTGGAATTTCTCTCAACTGTTAGTTTAAATTTTATGTTTTTGATTTCTGTTTAGTCTAGTACTACACTTCTATCTTTATAGTTTTACAACACATTTTCCTTTTGCTGCATTCTTTCTCCCCATGGTTTTATTTTTAACTTAACAATAGTAAAAGTTCAGTGTGTGAAAAAAATATATATATATATATTTCAAAATATTTCACGCTTAACTGCAACCACACTATTCATTCATAAAATGTGTTATATGATAATTTATATGACGACCTTCAGGTTCACTCCCTTTATCTCCATGACTGGACTAGTAGGTGTCCTCCTACAGGACATCTTATCAGACGATAACAGCCACCTGATTACTTTTCTGTATCCTCGGCTTACTGCAAGCCCTTTGAGAATGCAGATAATGTCTTCCTTCCCATTATATCCTTAGAGTATGTCACAGTGTCTATCATAACATAGCATTCAATAAGTACTTGTTAATTACTGAGTGATTATACTATGATATATTGACCCTCCACATTCTTATCATTGTGCTCTTGAGTCTATTTATTAAGACTAGAGCTATTCTTATCTGAACTATCTTGAAATGCAATCAAACCATTTATATTTTCATTGTATTCCTTAATTTTTGCCCTTTATTGTCAAGAATTCAAATGTCAGCCGGGCGCAGTGGCTCACCCCTGTAATTCCAGCACTTTAGAAGGCCGAGGCGGGTGGATCACGAGGTCAGAAGTTCAATACCAGCCTGGCCAAGATAGAGAAACCCCGTCTCTACTAAAAACTACAAAAATTAGCCAGGCACGGTGATAGGTGCCTGTAATCCCAGCTACTCGGGAGGCTGAGGCAGGAGAATCGCTTGAACCCAGGTGGCAGAGATTGCAGTGAGACAAGATCACGCCACTGCACTCCAGCTAGGTTACAGAGTGAGACTCCATCTCAAAAAAACAAAACAAAACAAAACCAAAAAGAATTCAAAAGTTAACAGACACAAATTAGTCACTGCTTGTTTAGTTAAAATACCTAAAAAAGAAATTGCCCTCTTGGAGTTGAATTTTAATAAGGAAAATCGGACAAATACGTAAGTGGTGATAATACCATTCATTTGTTATTCCAATTTTTCATTTATTCAACAGACAAGGCTGGGTGTGGTGGCTTACGCCTATAATCCCAACACTTTGAGAGGCTGAGGCAGGAAGATCATTTGAGTCAATAGTTTGAGACCAGCCTCAGCAACATAGTGAGACTCATCTATGCAGAAAAAATTAAAAATCAGCCGAGTGTGGTGGCACATGCCTATAGTCCTAGCTACTCAGGAGGCTGAGGTGGGAGGATCACTTGAATCCAGGAGTTCACAGCTGCAGTAGAGCTATGATTGTGCTGCCGCACACCAGCTCAGATGACAGAGCAAGGTCTTATTTCAAACAAAGAAACAAACCAAATATAAATAAATAAATATTGAAGAATTACTCTATGCCTAGCCTAGCATAGTTTTAAGTACTGGGCATACAGGGGTAAACAAAACATACAAAAATTATCTTCATGCAATTTATGTGTGGCAGAGGTAAAAAGAAAGGAAATAAATATATAGTTACTCAAATGGTGATAAGTCTGCTAGATAATTGTATAGCATGTAAGGGTATAGCGTATGCAGGGGGTGGCTTACTATTTTCTGTAGGGTGGTCTTCGAAGGTCTCATTCTTAGGAGACATTGAGCAGGAGCTGAAAGAAGAAAAGTAATGAGTTGTGTCGACGTGAGAGGGATGAGAATTGTCCTCATTGAGAATGCATGTGCAAAGGTGAGCTTGGAACTGTTCACCCTGTTTTATGAATAGTGAGAAGTCCTCTGGCTAGACAGCAGGAGCAATGGGGTGACTAAATGATGAGCAGCTCATATAGGGAATGGAGCCTGATTATATAGGTCCTTACAGGCCATTTAAAATTTTTACCTTTGTGTTCACTGAAATAAGAAGACTTTAGATAATTTTGAGTAGAATTACAACAATATCTATTTGAAGCTATGAAGAAATGATTCTTTCCTCAATGGTGGAAGCTTGAAAGAGGGGAGTGACATAGCTGTGGGAAAGGCACAGAGCCCTGCTCAACACAAAGGGGAAAAGGTTTTAAGCCACTTGGGAGAACAGCAAATGTTATCACATCCAGGATACAGGTAAATTTAGGTTTTAAATATGGGCAAATTGGCTAATGCAAGTTGATAACCATCATCTTTAAAATCCTGAGCTTTGGCCTCCATGGCATTATTTACCTATCTTAAATTCCCAGCTTTCTTGAGCCCAGTGCCTTATATTCATGGAAGCTTTGAGACAAAGTTTGCTGATTTCTACGACATAGGAAACATTTGAAATTTTAATGGTGATGGCAGAATATCTGTCACTTACCTTGGACATATGTGATATATTAAGTTTTCCAGATACTCATTCTAGGGGAGAAAAAAAGATACTCATCAAAATTGTCATAAAATAGTAGACAGCCTACAATCTTAAGGCTGTCATGGTCTATTAAGTACAGCAAACATGCATGGGAAATACTGCATTAGTTTCCCACAAATGAAATATTTTATTAACCCCTCTTTTCTTCTCCTGGCTAAAAAAGTCAAAATTGTTCTTACTTACCTCCTTATTTATTCTTACTCAAACTTCAAATCTTTCGGTTATTTTTGCAATGTCTCTCCTTACTCCTAGCTATTACACAGGTTATAAAATCCAGAACCCTGTTCCAGACAGGTTTTAACAGTACTTGTAAGTGTGGTAAAATGATTATATTATTATTAAGTTCCAGAACTTTGAATAATGTGAAAGAGACTATGTGTGTTTTACATTTTGCTATATTAACTAACTTTTAGTTTGTGCTATTTTATTGATACCCACTGTTTTCTCATTCTTACAATGAACTAAAGGAGTGAATATGAATATACCTAATAGTGATAGGGACCAAACCATATTGTCTGGTTCTTGTGATATTTTTGAGACAATAGGTATTTTTTTAATTCCTTGTTTTGCTATATTTACCAAGCTACCTATTGCTACAAATAGGTGCATACAAAGCGAATGGTTAATTCTCTTTCACTTAATAGGTGTAATTTGTGTAATTAACTGTGGTTTAAAACACGTAATAATCATCTCATCATTTTCTTAGTGCTATTGTCTCTGTGTGCACCCACTGATCTTAACAAGCCACAAGAATCGCAGCATTATGCCCTCGGTACAGTTCTACATTACCCTGCCCACTATAGGCCTATTATATTTGCAACATAAATAAAATTGTTCCATACAGAAAAGAACTCTCTAGAATAATAATAATTTAACATAGAAATGCCTGATGTAAAACAATGACACAGAGCAGCATTCATGTGTTTACTTTGAAGTCAGTAATTCATGAGACTGCAGTATCCAAATGGATGCCCTTGCTTTATGACTTGCCCACTACAGCCAACTTGGTATCCAGGCCAATTTAGCTAATCTGGGTTTAGCCAGATTCAAATAAAGTGAATGGTGTGTTCAATTTCCATACGGGATACTTAACTGTTTCAAGAAAAAGACTTCAACATCCATAAGTGGCAATATAATTGTGGCCATTTCATAGATGTATGTATATGGTCACAAAGGAATGAGATAAAATACAAGATTTACAACACAAAGTTATTGCATCATTTCTATGTGGTAAGCTCCATTCTAAATTACAGGGGGAAAAAGCTTATGTATTTGTTATAGTAACCATTGGAGGTAGGTAATATCATTATTCCTTTTTCATAGATGAGGAAATGGAGGAACAGAGAAGTTAAATCAACTATCTGAAGTTATAAGACTAGTAAGCTGTACAGCTGGGATTTTAACCCTGGAATTTGACTTAGATAATGTAACATATGACACTAGCATATACCCAAGTAGTGATGTCCATAAATCTTTTTTATGAAGACAAGGATATAACTGGCCTTGAAGAACCTTTGTCTCCACTCTTCCAAGTTGGCATTTTAATTACTCACGGACGTCTCATTTAAAATACGTTAATAATTTTTAAAATATATATTTTTAATATTGCCCTTTGGAAAATGCATGAGAGCTACTATGTGCTAAAATTATGTGATCAATTTTAATTTTATATGTCTAAAGAAAATTGACTATAATTTGAAATTGCTAGTTCTACAGGACTGAGTCACCTAAAATATGATAAAAGCAGTAAGTAAGGCATACATTGAATAGATACCAAGACTTTCCTAAAAAGCCTGATGTTAGGCTGGTTGGCAAAGAATATGGATCAGCGAATATTTAATACACACTAGTGACGATTCACTTAATAACACAATTGGATATTTTTAGAGTGATGGGAAGATGTCCATTGATACTTCATAAAGAAATCATGGGTCATCACAGGCTATACTTTAAAAAAGAGTTTAAGCATTCACAAACATATGTAAACATGTATAGCTAGCTAGCTAGATAGATATAGATAGATAGAAAGACGTATAGATAGATAGATAGATAGATAGATAGATAGATAGATAGATGAAGGCTAAATCATTTGAAATGTAAGTCAAACTGCTTCAGCTAGTTTAAGCAAAGAAGATTGTGTAGTTTTGTATCTTAAAATAATGTAAAGTCAGGAATAGATCTAACCTTTTTATGCATGTGTTAGAGAGTGAAGCACTGATGACCCTTGGTTCTAAACACTTATTTCTAGAATGTTTGTATAGTGAACAGCCTTGGAAAATGGAGATAGTGTCTCCCTCTAGAACAAGGATAAGGCATGCTTAGGACCATCATAAAATATTTGTTATTATTAAACTTGGAGTTCCTGTTCTGTAATGCCACCTACTTGTTTACAGATATAATCTGGTATTCTTCCTATCACCATAGGGGAATTAGGACTTTGAGAAAACATGCAAAAATGATGACTCTGTGACCACTGCTATTGCTCTGAGTAACAAATGGCCCTTTGTCTCTAATCCAGGAGTCTTGTATATCATAGCAGCATTCACAAAACTGTGGCAGGCAACTCGTCAGCTTGCAAATTTGGTAAAATATCAGACATCACAGTTATTTGCATTGAATACTAAAGAGGTTTATTTCATCCAGATTCAAATATCCAAAATGTTTCTTGTCCTTCTCTTCAAGGTTTCATTCATATTTCACATTCTTAGTATGGCACACACTTCCTTTAAATTTGAAATTTTCTGTTTCTCTTCAGAATCTCCTACCTTGTTTCCTGATTATTTTTTTCATAACACTTCTCTCTCTCCATATATATACACGTGTGTGTGCATGCACACACAAACATATATATACATATTTTAATTTTTATCTGCATCTTCTCACAAAAATATGAACTCCCTGAGGATAACAATTTTCTTTATCTTTATTAGTGACTGCTATGTTCCTAGTGTACCAAGAACATTATCTGTAACATAGTGGGTACTAAAAACTGTTTAGTGAATAAACAAGTGATTTCACTATATAAAATCTCGGAGAGTTATTGACATACATGCTATTCTCAGCCCAATCATCTTGCTCAGATAATTTGAAAAATATAATTATACCAGTCTAGATTACCTATCCCCTGCCATGCTCAGGAAGACAGGTGCTATTACTGCAAGAAAGGTGGAGATGAAGCCTAGAGGTAAAACCTATAAAAACAAATAAGAAATAAGCAAGCAAACAAACAAACAATAATTATAATAATAATATAGTAGCTCTCTGGTTGTCCCTTTGGAATTGAATTCCATAGAGTTTTTATATATTTCCAAAATATATCCAGGCATCTCACATAAAATAGCCCCACATAAAACCCCCACATAAAACTGCAAATAGTAGTCTTCCTTTCCCAAGGGACATGCTCATGCTTAACTACTGTATACAGCTATGAGTAGAGAACTTGCGAATAAAGAACCTCCTGTTTAATCAAACTTAGGTGTGTCACTTTGTGATACGTCTAATTAATCTGAACACAGCTGCCTAATCTACAAATAAAAGTACAAACTTTATTTTTTCTTTTTTTTAATATTATTAGGATGTTTATTCTCCCCACAGTGAAATATACACCAAAAACATTACAATCAACCTTGACACATAATTTTTGTAACAATAGGCAATTTGATTCTTAAATTTACGCAACAATACAAAAGCAATAGAGAACCAAGATTATTTTTAATAAGAATGGCAAAACAGACTACTTACACTACCTGATTTCAAAACATAATAAAGTTACTGTAATGAAGATGATATCAATAGCAAAGACTTGGAACCAACCCAAATGTCCAACAATGATAGACTGGATTAAGAAAATGTGGCACATATACACCATGGAATATTATGCAGCCACAAAAAATGATGAGTTCATGTCCTTTGTAGGGACATGGATGAAGCTGGAAACCATCATTCTCAGCAAACTATCACAAGGACAAAAAACCATACACCGCATGTTCTCAATCATAAGTGGGAATTAAACAATGAGAACACATGGTCACAGGAAGGGGAACATCACACACCGGGGCTTGTTGTGAGGTGCGGGGAGAGGGGAGGGATAGCATTAGGAGATATGCCTAATGTTAAAGGACGAGTTACGGGGTGCAGCACACCAACATGGCACATGTATACATATGTAACTAACCTGCACATTGTGCACATGTACCCTAAAACTTAAAGTATAATAAAAAAAAAAAAGAAAAGCTACTCTTTTCCCATTAATTTACTTGGACAACATTGTCAAAAATCAAATGACTATACTGTATATGTCTATTTTTGAACTCACTATTCTATTTCATTTACCTATAATGTCTATTCTTACATCAAACTTTACTTTTTCTAAAATGACAAAAGTTTCATAAACCAGTATTGGTCATTTCATGTGAACTGTAAAGACCATTTCTTGGAAAAATTGCAAACAAGAACTTATCCAGATGTTCAGCATTTTGTCCAAATATTATCAGCCAATCAGCATCACTCTGAGACTTTGTTTTATAAACATGGGATAGAGACTGTTTTTTTGTTTCTGCTTTTAAAGAACACACTCTGTTTCCATTCTTTACCCTCATCTCATATATCCTAACCTGGGTTTTCTACTTAACAGTAAAACTTTTCCCCAGCATTCTATCTTTGGACCCATAATTTTTGTCTTCTCTTGACATGGCAAACTATTTAACAAATGACAAAAATTTCCACCACAGAACAAAATGCAATCATAATCATCATAAAATTTTTATTAAAAAATAGGGAAATAGGAAGCAATATAATAGGCAGAAAAAATATTCCATACACTGTCAGTCAGAGATGTGATAGTGCATCCATTTTTTAATCATGTTCCTGGAGGTGGAGAGAGCTATAGGCTGAAAAGTTTCTTTTAGCTGTGTTTTCCTAGCTTGAGTGTTATTTTAGGTACTGTCCATATGACACTAAACTGGACAACAGATTCTTATTTTGAAAGTAATATCATATAGATATCTATGTTCCCATGAACCAGTTTTAAGCACAAAGGTGATGTGTTATGTATTGAGAAATATTGGACTCATTTTGGCCGGAATTGAGGTTTCTCAATACCTGTCCCTTAACACTTAAATGACCATATGTCATTTTCAATCTGGAGGGCTCCACTGCCAAACATTCAGTATTAGACTTCTCGCTGAGACAGCAATGCTTGAGTCTGGATGCTAAACTTGTGATTTTCTTCTTTCCCATCAACCACACATCTTTCTAATCAACAGTTTCTGTCTTGGTTTCTACCATAGACTAACATGAAACAACATACTCCCTTGGAAAAACAGTATTAATTGGCTTTATGTCCCCCAGGATACTTCCAAGTGGATTTTATTTATTGGAAGAATAATTCACAAGGGAATAGCTTAAGAATAAGTCTGGAAGAACTAGGTTTCCCCATATCCCTCTGGCTTTCCCAAATATCACTATTTCTAGTCTCCCCACTTGTCAGCTATCTAGAAGCATTGACCAGAGGCAAAATAACCTTTATTAGAAAAGTGATATAATTCCCTCTCTCTTTTTTTGCTTTCAAATGGCCTCGTTAAGTTGAAGCCTGTTGTATTCTTGTACATTGCTTCGCTCACAAAAGGTAGCAGACAAAATTCAATCACCATTTTTCTACTAAGTTTTCCAAATGTAATTCTTTTTAAGAAATGATGTGTAAGAATGACATGAATAAATCTATGAGGCTACAAAAGAAAATAAAATATAAACTGAAGGAATGGCGAGAATATATTCCTGGATGTGGAGATTTAATATTATAAAAGCATCTATTGTCACCATAGTAGTTTATAAATTCAACACAGAAAACCTTGTAAATAACTTGTCAAGCTGACTCTGAAATTTAGCCAAGAGAAATTATTAAGAATATTTTTAAAAGTGAAAAAGAAGAATGGTGGAGAAATGATCATAACAAATATTTGTATAAATATGTATAAACATGTCTATCAAGTACAAAAATACAGTACTTAAAACAATTGGTATCAGCTGAAGGCAGGGCAAAGATAAAACAGACAATTGAAAAACAAAACCAACCTGAGCATATATGATATTTAATATATTACAAGTTTGTCATTTTGAAGATATAGAACATTCTGTTTAACAAACTATATTAGGATGATTGTCTACACACATGGACTAAATAAAATTTGAGTTCCATATTATATATAAATAATATAATTCTAGATGCTCTAAAGACTTAAAAATAAAACATCATTAACATAGTGTAAATAAGAGAGGAAAAGATTAAAGCACCGAGCAGTCATTGGTTTGAATCTCTTGCAGAGGAAAGACAGAGGAAACTTATCTTTCTAGCTCAGGATCTGGCAACTCTCAGGGCCTTAACCCAAGAAGTTTCACATTTTGTGGTGTGTGTCTTGCAATATTGCTCAGGCTTTTTCACCACTGAAAAAGAGAATGGAAATGGTATTAAGAATAACAGACTCCAGGGACACAAATGTTGGAAATCTCTCTTTTTCTGTCTCTAACTCTGCCTATCCCTTTTGGTCAACATCATTTTCCACTACTGTGGGTTCTTTTCTCTTTATTACAGGGTCCATAAAAATATTCAAGATCCATATACCATAGTGATCCTAGATGATGAAGGATTATTTTTCTACGTTTTGGTATATAAAATGCTAGGGAAGGACTCAGATTAGCCTACTTCTGTTGCATTGTTCATATTTAACTTATAATCGAGACTAGGTATATGGGATGTGTATCACTTAACTGTAAACCAAATAATGCTGCATAAAGAACCAACCATAACATCTCAATACACCAGCATTTATTAAGCTCACAAGTCCAAAGGATAGCTCATCTGGTCTAGTCAGCTCAGCTCTGCTCCACACATCTGTCATCCTCCTTCTAGCTTAGACATGATCTTCTCATGGTGATGGCAGAGTCACAAGATGGCAAGAAGAAACATGCAAGGCTTCTTTGGGTCTAGGATTCTATCTAGCACACTGTCTATTCTACTTCATTTTATTCATCAAAGCAATTCACATGACTAAATCCAAAGTTAACTGAAATGATAGTAAATATACTGCACTTCTTTAAGTTCCTTCTTGTAAAGGAACTAAAGTATCACATAGCAAAGAGTATGAATCCAGAAGGAGTAAAGAATTGCAGCCAGTAATGGAAGTGAATCCAAGAAACAGTGAATAGTTCCACTGACATTTATGCTTACTCCCATGGTCTTAAAACAAGAGCCTGTTGTCAGAAGACAGAAAATGGGGGAGTTTGATAGAGCTAATGCTAACTTGACCACATACAAAATCACATATGTAAACTAGTTTTACAGACAGGTTTAATGGCATAAATTTGAAATCCTTTAAAGAAGAGAGGTACTTTCATTGTTAAAGTGTATAGATGTCCACAACTCCTTCATTCTCAGTAACCTCTTCTTTCTTCTAGACCTTAGTGTACTCTGCATATTAGAAATGAGTAAACAGCAAACCCATACCTTGCTGTTATCAGAGGGAATATTGAGCAGTATTACAGAGAAAGTGCGACAGAGTTCATATTTCTATTCAACTAACTGAAACTGGAAGTTACTTTTTCACCAAGTAGCATAAACTCTTCTGCTGCTACAGGGATTGCAGAGAATACACATGAACAAAAGATAGAATCTGTGGAAAGCTATATTATCATAAAAGTGAAAAACAATGGGTTGTTCACCAATTATTATTAGTTTTAGACTTTTTACTGGGTAGAAGCTCTAACAATACGTAGCATTGTTAGTAGAATAAATTTTAATAAACTGTGGCCTGTTTCTATGTGTCACAAATTATAGATAATTTTAATAAAATATGTAAAGCAATATAGAGATAATATTATTTTAAAATATTAATGCAGGCCTAATACAAGGAAATGATCTCCACTACAGAACTATAAAGGGACAAAAATGTATCAACATACCATATGAAAAATACAGAAAAATAAGTGTCATATGTCCTTAATGAAAATTAATATCACTTTATAAGTTTTCAAAGTTATTATTAGCTTTAAACACATAGTTTCTTTTTTTTTACATTTCAAAATATTCAAGTTAAGGAGGAGTTCTTTCATTTATTGTTATTGATAGATGTCTGGCCTGTTAGAAACAAAATACTGGTTAACAGTACAGACTTTTCATTCAGACACCTTGGTGTATTAACCTAGTACTCAACTACATGCTGTCTGTGTGCTGGAGCTCTAAAAGGAATAATCTTCCCCTGTGACCAGTGTTTGCAAGAGGTCAGGAGGTTAGACACATAATTACTGGGGTTATGTGGAGGTGGAGTAACAGGGTGGATGATGAATGGGCAATTAAAATATATTATCCAACTTACATTAAACACTATCAACCCATTACTTTCTGTTAAATTCCTCTATTTTAGGTCCTTCATGCCACTTACTAATATTACTATTTACTTATTCTATTTATTTTTAATGCCTACTAATTATAAGCCTTATGATGAGGGGAAATATAAGCTATGTTTCCTGCTGTATCCCCAGAGTACAGAATAGTGTAGGATCATAGTACACAATCAATGTATGTTTGTTAAATCAATTTGTTATCTACTATTCAATCAGGTAATGAACAAAGAAACTTAGAAGAGAACAGGAAATTTGGAACCTTGTTATCTTACATTCTAATTATGTCTGTGTGTGTGTGTGTGTGTACATGTGTGTGTGTAAATTTATACATGCTAATATGTCTGTATGAATTAAAGTCCCACTATTCTCTCTTTTTAACATTTCTTTTGTGGATATCATGTAAACTTGGCCTATGTCAATAACTAATCATGACCTGCAAACATTACTGTTGACTCAAAAATGATTCAATTCTCGCAGGAAGTAATTTACACATTAAGAGAACTGACTATCTTAGGAGGTCATTTTTACAATTAATGTAAAACTGTCCTTGATCATACAGATCGATGAGCCCCATTTGCCTCCATCTGTAGGCTTTACCATGTGTATTATTGCCTTTGATGCATTGATTGAAGAGGAAAGAGTTAATGTAGCTCCAAAAATGCACTATACATTCTGATCCAAGATATTAAGGATGTTTTAGATTCCACCAGGGAAAACACTAAAACATAAATAGAAATGAATTATGGTGTTATTTAATTAACTGGGAAGTTCAATGTGCACTAGAGACAATTTATTACAATAAATAGAGCATCCTATCCTTGCAGTGCATTGTAATGAATATAAATCAAGGATTTTTTTTTTCCTCAAAGAAAAACATTCACCAATTTCCTATAAACTGTACCTAAGGGCCTCATTAAATTAATACTTCACTAGAATGCTTCATTATTTTGCAGACATTATATTATGGGGCATCTCTACCACATTCAACATCATTCATCACTGGTTTCTCAGTGAAACACTCCTCTTTTAACTCACATGAGATCTGTGCTCTCCTGGTTCTCCTCATAACTTTCTATAATTGCTCCTGTTCAGTCTTCCTCATAGCTTCTTCCAATAATTATCTCTTAACTGTTGAGGGTTCCCAGAGTTTTCTTCACGCCACAATTTTCTCTAAGCACAGCATACTGAAAAAGTACTTATCATTTCTCCTAAAATTAATCTCAACTTCAATAATTAACCTTTCATTTGGTGGCATGATCATTCAGTCTGTTATTCAAGCTAGAATACTTGAGTTCACTCTATCTCATCCCTCTCCCTTTTTGCCACATCCATTTAATCCAGACTTCTGTTCTCTTTGTCTCTACAATGTATTTCAAGTCTATCTTCTCCATCTCAATCCTACCATGGATCCAATGAACACATTCGTTTATCTCATTTGAATTGCCTCCACAGTCCTCCAGCCAATTTTGCTCCATCCCCACACCGCCTGAGAATTTCAATTCAAATTCATCTTTTGCAGTTGTTTTTAAAATATCTGGAAAAAGATGGAGTAAAGATTGTGATATTAAGTAACCCTGTCATATTTGTGCTGAATTTTTGCCTATTCGTTGCATATTCTCATGCCAAACTCACAGTATACAAAAACTACCAACATCTGGGATAGTAAATGATATTTGAAATAAATTGCTTTACCACATATCTAGAGAATAACAATCAACAGGATACATAATACAGATAAATAATATATGACTGTTACAATGCTCAGTTCTTCCTATGAAACTGATTCTTTTTAAATTGTCTGAAAGAATATTTTTTCATCATGCCACTCACTTATTCAAAAAATTTTAATTATTTGAATTAAATTATTATTTATAATAATTAAATTTTAATTATTTGAATTAAATTATTGCTTTTAATGTCATGTGTAAACTAGTTAATTATTTAAAGCATTGTTATTTTATCTCACTGTATCTTTTAAATTGTGGCCTCTACTACTTGTAGCCTCAAACTCTGATTTAATCAATTTTTTAAAAAAATTTCAAAATATTGTGCACAATTTTGACTTTGCACTTCTCTTTTAATAACATTTGTTTGTCACCACCATTCAACTTCATCGTCCAAACCTATAAATCTTTCAAGGCCTAACTGAAGTCCAACCACTTTCCCTGAAGTCATTCCAGAACTATTTAGTTCCTTGAGTTATTGCCATTCTCAGAGAATTATTGCCTGAAATTTTAATTTGTTAATTAATTGTATATGGTGCAATCTTTCTAACTCTTTAATATTTTTAATTTTAATATTTTATTTATGCTCGATGTTACTACATTTTGTTTCTGAGAGCAAATACTCTGTTTCATAGCTATTTATAACTTATTGGATGTCTTCCATGATCTACAATGGCCTTGAATTTTATTTTAAAGATAAGGATTTAATCATCATATTATTATACTAATGTACTTGTCTCCTCAGATTTTATTTTTGTCCAATAATACAACAGAGTTTAAAAATATTTATAGATCATGTAAAAAGTACTTAAATAGAAATTATGAAAATAAAGTTGTACAGATTCTCTACATCTTGTATTTATTTTTAAAAATGTAACTTTTTTGAGGTAGAATACATTATATCAAAATGATTTTACACAATCATGCTAATTTTTAATTTTTATTTTATTTTATCTCAGTAAATAATTTGAAAATGATTATGAAATACTATTAAGTTTATCCACCACTGTTGAAATAGTATAAAGTGTGCCAACTTGCTACATAAATACAACTTGAAACTTTTATTCTAGAGGCAGGCACAGTCAACTGATCTGCATATAACAATACAACCAGCAAATGAAATAGACAAAATGGAGTATCACAAATCAATTTTTCAAGCTTCTACCAAAATAGCTGAAATGGCCTCCTCATAAATTAATTAAGAACTAAGGTAAGATGCTTAATAGAATGTAAAACCTTAGATATAATTTTAATTTTCAGAGGTTCAGAATGCACAGAAATTTTTTTCTTCATTTTTAATAGTCTCGGGTAGTTGGAGAATTGCAGAATGAAAACAGTAGGCAAACAGTAGTAGAAATATTCTTTTCCATTTTTATGGTTGTAATGAGTTATAATATAGGCTTTTTTGAGCTTATTAAATGTCCCCGTAGGATCCTGGCCACTTTCATTTGGAATACAATAGAATGCTTGCACTTGAGCTACATATCTTTTGAAATTAGCAGAATACAAAGCAGCCCTAATATTCAGACTGTCCTGTCAGTAATTTCTATTGAGATTATTGTCTTAGTACATTTAGGAATCTGGCTGACAAGAGGCATTTAATGAAACTTTTTATGACACACCATTCTTTTTTGTTAAATGAACACAAAGAGATCTAGACATAGCACTGTTACAGAGAGTAATTTATAAATTTTTCAATTATTAAAATGCTTTTTTCTAAATGGGTTTCAGAACTATCAAACATTTTACCTTCAAAACTACAAACATTATAAGTAAAGAAGTACCATTTTTCTTACATTGGCAGGTCACTAATAATTTTTGAACCTAAATTTTGAGCATTCCTAGAATCTTTTAAAGTCAAGAAAATTGTTGAAATGACTATGTTGTAAAAATTATATAAATACACTCTAAAAAGCAATCCAAATATTCGGATACAAGGTGGCATATATTACAGGGAAATACATATAATAAAATAACAATAAAACTGAGTGGATACTAAAAGCAGAGGTATTTGAATTAAAATATAATTCATTTCCTAAAATATAGGTTATTTGTTGATAATCTGATACTGATAATTCTATAGAATTAAATTCATAGATTAGAAATTTGTACCAATTAAAGATGACGTTTTCTAATGTATTAGGAACCAACCTGATAATTTCTTGCTTGTAACATTATTACTCTCCATGAAGATAAGATCACCAGTAGTGAGAGTTAGGAGTCACTTCAGATAACTAGAACTTAACCACTCTTTATTGCAATTCAATTTGACTTGAGAAAGGCAAATTATAACTAGAGTTTCTTATATCAACATATATAATGTATCAAACTTTGAATAAAAATATAATTATCAAAGCAAATATAATGAAATCACAGGAAAGAACAACAGCATGTATTTCTGAATCAATTTTGTGTCCTAGGTCCCTTTGAAAAATTAATGAAAGATATGGACCCTCTATTTAGAAAAAGTAGATATTCACTTAAACAAAAATATAAGTTACAAAAGTTTAATCAATCCCATAATACCTGGCCATGGACTCAAAGAGGTCCATGAAGACCAAAGTTATTATTCTGTGTTGATCTAATGCAAGTTTGAAACACTAGATAGAATGCAGCAGTTTGATGTAAAATAAAAACAAAAATTATAAACATACTGCTTTAAATCATTTGAATATGAGTTGAAAAGGGGAAAATAAAGAAGAAAGGAACAAAAAATTAAAGAGAAAGGAAAAGGAGATTAAGGCATTCCCACTTCTCTGATAAAAATTCAACCTCTAACATCACTTCTTAAAGCAGGCATCCCCAATCCCTGAGCCATGGACCACCAGTACTGGTCCCTAGCTTGTTAGGAACTCAGATGCATACCAGAAGATGAGTGGCCAGTGAGCCAGTATTACTGCCTGAGCTCCACCTTCTGTCAGATCAGCAGCAGCGATCACAATAGGAATGAAAACTCTATTGTGAACTGCCCGTGTGAAGGATCTAGGTGGCACACTTCTTGTGAGAATCTAACTAATGCCCGATGATCTGAAGCGGAACAGTTTCATTCCAAAACTATCCCTTTCATTCCCATTCGTGGAAAAACTGTCTTCCATGAAATCAGTCCCAGTCCAAAAGGCTGGGCACCGCTGTCCTAAAGTATAATTATAATAAAGAGAGACAGGCACAGTACACACAGTTGTGCCAACTGATCAAACGATATGTGAAAATTATAATTCATTATCGAAGTTTTGCTTTGATCCCTTTAGTCATGCATACACTTGAATGGCGTGTGCATCTAAAAAAGTTGTGATTGAAGACAAAAAAAAAGAGTTCCTTTTCCGGACCTTATTTTTTTTAATTGAGTTTACATTTAGAGTAGTTTTAAGTTCAGATCAAAAGTGAACAGAAAGTTAGTACAGAGTTTCCACATCTCCCTTCCTATCTTCCCTGCTCCACAACCCACAGAGACAGCTTTCCCATTTGACGTCTTGCACCAGTACGGATATTTGTTACAAAAAATTAACCAACCCTGACACATCATTATCACCCAAAAGTCCATAGTTTACCTGATGGATCCTTCTTTGTGTTGTACATTCTTTGGGTCTTGACAAATGTATAATGACATATATGCTCCACATTAGTATCATGTAAAACAGTTTCACTGCCCTGAAAATCCTCTGTGCTCCATCTATGCATCCCTCCTTATCCTGCAAATCCCTGTAAATCATTGATTTTTTTTTTACTGCCTTCATGGTTTTACCTTTTTAAGAATGTCATGTAGTTGAAATTATGCAGTAGGTAGCCTTTTCAGATTGGCTTTTAAGTTTCCTTCATTTCTTCTTGCAGTATCATAGTTTATCTCCTTTTAGTGCTATAATATTCCATTGTCTGGATGTACTACAATTTATTTGTCCATTTACCTACTGAAGGATATCTTGGTTGCTTCTAAGTTTTGGTAACTCTAAATAAAGCTATTATAAACATTTGTGTGCAGGTTTTTGTGTTGACAGAAGTTTCAAGAGTGTGATTGCTGGATCACATGGTAAGAGCATGTTAAGTTTTGTAAGAAAATGCCAACCTCTCTTTTAAAGTGACTATACATTCTGCATTTCCACCAACAATATAAGAGAGTTCCTGTTGCTCCACATCCTCACTAGCATTTGGTGTTGTCAGTGTTTTGGATTTTAGCCATTCTAACAGGTTTGTAGTAGTATCTTATTGTTGTTTGAATTTGAAATTATCTAAATACATATGTTGTTTACATGCCCTTATGTTGAAAAATATGAGAAATAAATTGTATCTGCTTCACTTATTTTTCTGGGAAATCTTTCTGACACAGTGAGATGAATGATAAAAGTTCTTCAATTATGTCCTCTCATTATTTTTGATTTGTAACTAAACAATGTTTGAATTGCCTTAATAAGATTCTTGAGATAGTAAATTACTACAATCTCCTGATGTGACCCCCGTGGAAAATTTAAAAATTTTCAAATTAAGTCATGTATTTGTAGGTTCAGATGTGGGCTCTATTTTTCAGATAATATATTCCCCATATCATTAGGTGCATCCAAAGTTGACCAGAGGAGAATATGATTTCCATAGATGAAACAATAATGTTGACAGTCTTTCAGTAATTGTCATCAGATTGAAGCAATTAATAAGTGTGCAGTGTTAAATTAATTACATTTATTTTTCACAGGTGACTTTTAAAAAGTTTGGGTATTTTTTTTCTTTTGAGGGGAGAGGCTTAAAAAACAAATTTTGTTCCTAATTATTTTTAAAAAATGTTAATTCAGAAACATTTAACAGATTTCATTTAAACTCATATGGTCATAAAAGTCAAACTATCAAACAAAAATAGCATTGTGCACTTAACCACTTTTAATGATGAACCTTTAAGAGGAAACATGTAGAGACTCCTACACAATTTGGGAGCCATTAGGCAACATATATTTAATATTAAGCAAAGACAGCATTAAAAACTAAAAATCCTCAAATTTCAAGAGAATGCCTGATCAAGTCTTTGATATGCATTTGCACATGAGAAAAGAAATATTTTAATTTAAAAGAAACCAAGTCTGAGTGCTTACCCTTTCTTCAAATATAATCTCCTGTCTACCCTTCATTTTATGACTGCATACCCCTCACTCTACTTCATCTACACTGAACCAGTGTTAGTTCAGCATGATTGGCTTCACTCAAAGCCCTCTAGATCCCATTTCATATATCCCATCGACCACCATTATCCCCTTACATGTTTGCACAACCTTATACTGAGTATTACATTGTAACAGAGCTTGGGAATTTCAGTTATCCAAAGGTAATTATATATACACACGATTCTGTTTTATTGCACAGTTCACAATATAGCCGGTGATTATACTGGCAACCATGTTAAGATGAATATCGACTATGCAGACAAAAACATTGATTTTGTCCCCAACCACAAATGAAACAAGAAAGACACACATATTCGCCACCATATAAAGGTTGTGTTTACTCTGTGGTGCAGTCATGAAGGCTCATATCACTCTCAGTGTGTTAAATACAGAATTCATAACATTTCTGGTGGCATCACACATGAAGTATAGGACACAAGACCATAAATGTCCTGCACTCATGAGCCATTTGTGCCACATACGTAACAGAAAGGCCACTTTTAAAGCTATTCAGATATTCAATCATGTTTGCCCTTTTAATTTTTTTTTCTTTTTTTGAGACAGAGTATTGTTCTGTAGCCTAGGCTGCAGTGCAGTGGTGAGATCTTGGCTCACTGCAACCTCTGCCTCCCGGGTTCGAGCGATTCTCCTGCCTCAGCCTCCCAAGTAGCTGGGATCACAGGCATTGGCCACCATGCCTGGCTAATTTTTTGTATTTTTAGTAGAGATGGGGTTTCACCATGTTGGCCAGGCTGGTCTCGAACTCCTGACCTAAAGTGATCCACCCACCTTGGCCTCCCAAAGTGCTGGGATTACAGGCATGAGCCACCGTGCCGGCCTGCCTTTTCAAAATTATTACCACACTAGTTCACATTGAAGGTAAAAACAACAGTTAGAATCTCTTACTAACAACACATTTTGACTTCAAGCTCAGACAAAGCTGTTGGTTACAAGTTCTGTTGAATTTTTTTGTCAAATTTAAAAAGTCTATAGGACAACACAAAACCATCCCTGGTAATGTATTTGCAGTTTGGTCTTCAAAAGCTGTAAAGAGTGACACAGAAATAAAAAAAAATACTAAGTTAAAAACCATTAAAAGTATTTATTAATAATTGTTTTTAAACATCACTTATTTGAGACAGCAGAAACCAAAGAGTTTTCCTTAGAATTCTCACTTAGCTTGTATTTCACAAAAGTGAAATCTGCTTTAGAACTCAGATTTTTACCATCTGTATGGAGTGTAAAGACAAAAGGAAGCCCAACAAACCAAAGGCCCAATGGTGTCTATTCCCAGGGCCAAGGTATTAGCCCAGGCTAACCCACCTGCCCTGTGCTGAGTAGCTGGATACGCTTGTCAGTGCTCAGAGTCATGCACATGAATTAGTGGGTCAGGCACCAAGGTGCCTTTATTCATTTATTTCTCAAATTCAACTCCCTTCAAATCCTGACTCTGTTTAATAGGTCAAAGGATGCTATTCATCTTTATTTGGTGCCAAATTATTATTTTTTAATCCTTACCTCTACACCTTGAATGTAAACTGCAATATCCAGCACAATATCGTCAGACAGAGGTGCTGTATGGTTACTTAGCTTCATTACTGCCTGGCTAATGCTTAATATGCTTCATCCTTTACAGCTGAAAGAAGGATGTTCACTGTATTTAACCAGCCATACTGCATTTAGATGTAAACAGCTTTTATGGGCTATTTGCCCAGAAACTTTCAGTAAACTACCAAGTTGAGGCCCTGATTTTATTTTGGTCAGTATGTGCAAATATTCACATGCAGTTACTCAGAAAGAAGAAAAACTGGTTAACAAGAAACCTACCACCATGCCAGATGCTGGAAATAAATCTTTACAGAAAGGGTTTTAAGATTCATAATCCACTTTTTCAGTCTGTCTCTTATATTTCATTAGTCAATTGGAAGTGCCATATGAATCATTTTGCTTTATCTGGAAAAAATATTTTCACATTTTCCAATTCCTTTGACAAAGAAGTTTTCGTCTATTAAGGGATGAGAATGCTATTTGGCTATTGCCTACTTTTAGAATTCAAACTAACTCTTCAAATGTCTTCATTTAGAGCATATTCTCTCAAACTATCTTATTGTTTTACTAACACAACGGTAAAATTGGGTTTCCAAAATGTCAAAACCCTAATGGAGTCTCTATTTCCAAAGGTGAAATAAAAGACAGCCAACACTGTGAAAACTATCCTGAGCCTTTTTCCCACTCTGAAACATTTAGAAACTAGGGGGAAAAAAAAGTGGGATTGCATTAACAGACTTCCAAAACAAAATGTTATGGAAGTGTTTATCTTTTAAAAGGAGAGTTTTAAGGGAACAGGATGCTTGAGTATGACCAACTCCTGCTCAACAGGAAAAATAACCACAGACCTTTGCTGAGATGGCCCCAATAATTCAAAGAAACCAAGCTAACCAGAATTTGATCTATACACAATTAGTATGAAAATTTCTTAACAAGATGGAACACCTATAACAACATTTAAGTCCCTTCATCTTTTGGCAATGAAATAAGTGAAATCAACATAAGGATATTTTGGAAGCATTGAAGGTCACAGTCAGAATCAAACAGAAAACTTTCAAAACTAGAAAGCAAAATGGGAACTTTCATAACTCCTTGATCTACCATATCTAAACAGAAATAGTATAATGACTATACAATAGGTACTTAGTTTCAAAACGAATACAAGCAATTTATCATGAAACGCCTACACCTAATAAGCTGTTTTTCTTCTTTGTTCTGCCCCATTGTCATATGCTTGAGCTTAATGAAGACTATGCTCTGCAGCTGCTCCTGAAGGCAGAGACGCAAGCAATGGAGTAACAAAGGAAGCCTGAGGAGCCCCTGGCACCCGAGGACCTTCTCTCTGGCCGTTCACAGCCACTTATGTTTCAATGCAGAAGATTTCAAGACTGGTTTGAGAAAAATAATCCTGTTTTGGGGATTAGGTTCCCTGTCAAAGGCCATCAGATGGACAGCTATTTATCAGGCAATTAGCCTAAGGCTCTTAGGTAATGATAAAAAAAAAAAACAAAAAAATCAAAAAAAAAAAAAAACAGAAAACAAAACAAAAAAATCCCTTATATTTTCCTATTGGAATCTTTTATTCTGTTTTATTGAGGCTTAAGCAAAACAGCTTTGCCCATAACTCACTGTGGCCTGGAGTTATGACACCAACTTGTATTTGGCCAACTAAGAAAGAGGCCAAACTGCATTCTTCTTAGAAGGTCTATTCAGTTGATAAATGGCACTAAACTGTTGGTTTTTTTCATATAACCTTTACTCATAAGTTGCATTGATTATGCTCTAAGAGATAAGGGACTGATGGTAATTCAAATGGGCACCTCTGAAAAGATTTATCAGTTTTCTGTCCCGTTCCAGCCAGATTTTTTGGAAAACCTTGGGGAAAGACTGAAATTCCCCACCAATCTGAGACTGTATGCGAGTTTTTACATTAATTGGAAAAAAACAAGAATCCCAACATGGCACCCAGTGGACCTCCACAGATAAAATTATTGACCAAATGAGCACTGTGAGTCGTTTCTGTAGGCAGATGCTCCTTAATGGGACCTCAAAGCCCGCAAAACAAGACATTACTGAGTCCATTCTGGAAAAGAATGGGCACCAAGCCTCGATAATACTCTCCAATTCCATGACATTTCAGTGCCTTGAAGGCCTGATAAGTGTTGGTAAATCTGTCATGATGCTTGTGGTCTTGAATCAACGTCTGAACTATTTCCGGTGGAGTGAAAATTGCTTCTGTTGTCCCTGCGAGCACTGCCGCCATGCAACAGGTTGCAAACTCTGGAGCACTGACATGCTTGTGGAGAAGGCAGGATAAATCCTCATAGAGACCGAACGTAAGTGCAAGTGTAGCTGTCTTCTGCATCAATGGGGGAAGGATTCCAGGATACAAGTTTCGAAATCCATCCCTTCTCAACTAAAATATTGCATCCCGGGTTTTGATGCCATACAGCTGTTGTCGAAAGAGGACCGTCTGAATGGGATATGTGATTGCGATGTTGTTGAAGGCTGCGCAGCAGCCACACAAGTAATGCTTCATTTCACCAACATTTGTAATACGAGGTGATATATCTTGTTCTGAAGATGTTAGTGTTGGTGGCCTCTTTTCATGAGCTTCTGAATCCATCGTGTTGCTTAAGGTCTTTCATTTTCATGAAGGACTAACTTTTTTTAACCTGTAAGACAATCTGAGCCTGGAGTTTGGCAGGATGATAGCTTTTTGATAATGTTCTCAATTTCCTCCATTGTTATTGTTCTGTTAGTTTCTCTCTTCTGGAGTCAATTTTGATAACTGGATTTCCATTCTCCAGGCGCCCATCTCCCCAACCTGTGAAAAGCGGGGAGGGGGTTGGACAAGATCACTAAGTCCTCCTCCGTCTGACACTCCACAGTCAAGGGGTCCCGAGGTCAGGAGGCCGAAATCAGTCTCCCCGGAAACAGGGCCCCTTGCGCGGTGCCAGCCCCGCTCTGCCCCGGGCGCAGGCAGAGCCCGGCTCCTCCCCGCCCCTGCGGTTTCTGCGCACCAGGGAGGAGCCTCCCCAGACCGGGGCGTGACCGAATGAAGGCACAGCCTCCTTCCCGGGAAAGGTCGCCCAGCAGCCGGATAAACACCCGCAACAGGCGGGAGAGCCGGGAGGCGAGGAGGCTCAGAACT
Source organism: Homo sapiens (assembly GCF_000001405.40). NCBI lineage: Eukaryota > Metazoa > Chordata > Mammalia > Primates > Hominidae > Homo > Homo sapiens. The sequence goes on along the minus strand of NT_187555.1, from coordinate 13,075 downwards.
GATTCTGCGCGCGCCGCCTGGGTGGGGTCCACAGCGACTGGGCCAGGGCAGCCGGCGCGCGCAGAGGACTGGGGTGGACCCCTAGAGCGGTCGGCTGCCCAGACCGGCCCTGTTGTGTTTTTTCTAATCCTCTTGTTGGGAACAAACAAGTTCGTTGTAGGGTGAGGTAAGGTAAATTGCTTTTACCTTTCTCTCGTTGTGAAGTGGATCTCAAAATACTGGTGTTTGGTTTTTACTTTGTGTTAAATGCTAGGAGAAACCTTAAACTTTGTTGGCTCAGTGCTTCATTTGCTGCCTAAATTAGACAAGATCTCATTAGGATGGAAAATGTGTGCCTCCCTCCTCAAAAAAAAAAAAAAAAAAAAAGGTTTTGAAGCTCTAACTCCCAGCTTAAATATATTTGAAGATGGAGCCTCTAATTAAGTAATTATGGTGAAATGCGGTCATAATGGTCGGACTCTGTTTCGACAAGATTAGTGTCTTTATAAGAAAAGACACCAGAGAGGTCGCTCACTCTCTTAGTGCGCTGAGGAAAGGCCATGTGAGGTTACATAAAATGGAAGCCAGTTACAAGTCAGGAGGCGAGGCCTTGGCAGAAATCGAATAAACAAGCACCTTGATCGTGGACTTCTAGCCTCTACAATTGTGAGAAAATTGATTTCTTGTTGTTTAGGCCATCCAATCTGTGGTATTTTGTTATGACTGCCCAAGAAGACTAATAGGATCAGATGGGCTTAAAATACTATCACAGGATCCTTGGGGTGTCACTGTGCCAGCCAGAAAGCTGTGTGGGCTGCAGCATCTCTGTGTGAGTATTGCTTGCGCCGCTGGGCTCCTTTTGCCCGGCCCGCTAGGCTTAGCAGGCTGCGCTCCTCTCTTGCTACCGGCCTGGATCCCACGCCTGCTAAGGGAGAGCCAGGCACAGAGCACCAGGGGAGGGGTGTGTGGGTGAGCAAGCATGGGGTCTGGTCACTGCGCACAGCCAGGCATATTTTAGGAAAATCATAAGTTAATTTTAGCCAAATATTATGCTCTTACCATGGAGTGACCATGGAAGCCAAGAATAATACTATTGATAAAAGCCTTGTGGATATCACAGTTAATTGGTATCAGTACACATTATAGAAACTTAATTTATCAAAGAGGAAATAAGAATATATATAAGAAAATAACAAATAAAAAATAAATTAAAGTGTAACAGATTATTAATCTCTGAAATACGGAGACAAAGAGGTTTTCTATGTTACTTCTATAGACAGATAATAAAAAGGATTTCCTCATGGAAGTTTTCTCTTTTGTGTTCTAAATTGAAAAATCATCTTCAGATCAAAATATTCCTGAACTTGGCAGTGCATTTCCAAATTGTTCTTGGTGAAATTGTGTCAGTTAGAGAGATGTATACATGAATTAAAACATGAAGAAAGCTCTGTTTGGCGGAGAGACTAATAAGACTTTAAGAGAACTGCAGTAGGTAAAAATGGTGTTTCTAAAATCAAGTGTCTTCAGAATCTGGTCAAAGACCAACCATCACCAACTGTAGTGCAGAGAAACCTCCAGCACTGAACAGAGGCAACCAAGTAAATTCATAGCCATACACATAAAAGAAAGGTGTGACTTACAGGCCATAATTCGGCAATTCCTGATCTAGACAAGTATAAAACAAATAAACAACTACAAGACATAGGAAACTCTTCATTAAGTTTGAAACATTAAGGAAGACAAAATTTACCTAGTAAGGATTAACACATGATACGACTTTTTTATCTTACGAGCACTGGGGCCATCTTAAGGGACAGACTTCTTGGATCTATGCCCACTCTACTCTATAAACTCCTTCTTAAAAAGACTCAAAACAAAAGTGACAAGGACAAACAGAGAGAAAAGTTAGAGTGTTGCTACTGACGTGTTTTTACCAAAGATAAGAGTTTTCAATTCATGAGCACATAAGCAAATGATTTATAGAGGAGTGATTCCTCCATTCTCAGGAGATAAACTCAGCCATCAGTTTGAAATAAGAGATCAGTAATATTGTTTCTAAAGGAGTAAATAGTAAATATTTTCAGTTGTGGGGATCATATTGTCTTTGTCCTATCTGACACTGCTGGTGTGGCAGCAAAGACATAGACATAAATGAACAATTATAGTCTGTAGGCTATAACTGATCTAGACAATAGAAATCATAGCTCAGGCTAAATGTGGGGCGTAATTTACTATTGTGGTCAGAAAGGTTCCCATATAGGATACTTATTAGATGACAGGATAATGTACTGTTTCTGAATTGAGGATCTTCAACCATGCCAAGAAGATCTTAAAAGGTTCTTGAAGTGATTTCCAGAATGGATAATTATAGTCTCTTCCACAAACCACCAAAACATCTGTTGGTTAAGCAAATCTTAGTTTATTAAATTTGTGCAGCAACAAAGAACACTACCTGGACACAGTCTCAATAGTGTCTCAAAGACAGGATGTTAGCGAAGGGTATTTATGGGATTTTAAAGTATTAGCTCGAGTGGCTTAAAGTGGGTCTTTAGAGATGGGGAATGTTTTGGAACTGAATAAAGTTTTTACACAATAGGATTGCTAGACAAAGAAGGATGAAGATTTTGAAGACTAGTTGGAACTGTTGTAATAACTGAGCTGTTTCTTTAGGTGTGAAAAATGTTGTCTGACAGTTGTTTGCTCAGATGTGAACAAATAGTTTTCTCAGATACTTTTGTTGCAATAATTTCTTTAAGCAAACAGTAAAGTTATTTATTAGTTCATAATCCTAACTTCTTGGGTGAGGATTTCTTGGAGTAAACATTAAATTTATATAGGCACAGGCGCTTTTGTTTTTAAGGCAGACAGAGGCAGGGGCACTTTCCAGAAAAGTTCCAGCTTAGTAACAATATAAATGTTCACACTACAGTATTTTTATTGCCTGCCTACTTCCACTTCATGCCAACTAGTCAGTGGACTCTGTAGAACCAGAATATGTATTTTAATTAGTAAATCCTTAATAATGATAACTCTATTAATTTTAAGGATACTTTTACTTAAAAGGAAAAAAAAGTAAATATGGTGGAGGCTATAATATGCCACCCAGATCTCTTTTCTCGCGTGAAGTTGTCATTGTAGCTACCTGCTCAAATTTTGCCAATTAACAAGTCTTAGCTGTAAGCTCTCTTTAGCATTGTCTCAGCTGTAGAAAACTACTTTTCCCAATGTCATGACTCTTTCTGTGGGCAGACCCCTCCAATGGCCTAACAACATAGGAGTATGGAAGTCCTCTTCTCAATTTAGGACAACTCTGAAGTGTATCCTAGTTTCAGAAATCCTTGTGGGGTCAGCTGAGCATTGGTTGCAACTGAATAGCACTCACATTTTCTATATTCGTAATCCTCATTCCTTTTCCTCCATTTCAAGAACACTGATTCCAGCAGCCCCTATACATTTCCTGTGTGCATATCTACGTGTCATATTCCATTTCCTTTGTAATTCAACTTGAATGTTGAAGTCAGAAATGATCAAACAAGCAAATTTAAAGTTAAATTTTGGAGTTGAATCACTTGCTGCCTTAACAATGAGAAACTGTCATTGCAGGTAGGTGAAGTATAGACAGTTCCTGAAAAAAGATAGCTATGTAATTTATAAAAGTTACTGGTGGTAAGCTTTATGAACTAGTGGTATGGTTTATTTGTGGAGAAATATTTGCTCTGTTTAGATGAGAAGAATAGTAGAGTTGAAATAATGGCTATAAGGACAATGGAATTGGGTGGCTATAGCTAAGCTGTCTTAATATTCTGAGAAATGGGAATAACTACTAATTAAAATTAAGTATACTTCTGCTTGTAAATGTAGATAACAGAAAAAGGTCATTTCATTATGTAATTTTAAAAATCAGGTCAACTTTAAATTCAGATTTTATTTTTAAACTCCTTGCATAGCTAAGGATGCAGAACAACAAACTGGCCAAAATCTAAGGATAAAATACTTTTCTTGGGAAACAGTAGATGTGAGTACTTGCTCATCCGGGTTACAAGCCACTGGAAATCAGTAAGAAGAGTTCAAACAGAATATTTGAAAAGTTTTAAAAGCTGAATGTGAAGTGGTGAACAGTATAAACCTGTGGCCTGGGAGTCACAGAAACTGGGGAAGTTCATACCCTTTTGCAGACATACTTACACTAACTCTACTCACAGATGATATCAGAAAGATCCCTAAAAAGTTTGATTGGAATGCAAGCTGGGGTTGGGTAACAGGAGCTGTATAAAAGTGCAAGAAATTGTACCGAGATCTTTCTTGCATACCTTCACTGTGAAGCAAAAGCCTCAGTAGGTAGGTATAAGGACAAAAAGCATTGTTGTTTTTAAGGCATTGGTAAGGACTAATTGCATCTGTGGGAAGGAAAAAGGGGGAGGGGGGAGCTGTTCTTAGGAGAAGGGCAGGATAGGTACTCTGCCCACAACTACAGTCCTTGGTGGGTGAAAAAAGTAAGCCTACAATCCTGAGACTTGGGAACATAGTCATACCTAAGACAGAAGTTTAATCCAGAGCCACAGAGAATGGACTCCTCCAACTGCCCTCCTCATGACCAATTTAACAAGTTTTGAGTAACAATCAACAGTATATTATTCCTGGAAGAAGGACAGAAGGATCAAGAGAATGCAAAGGTCGTGAGGCAAATATAAAGGGAAGACCTAAATTTTATACTCCAACCGACATTGCTCTAAAAACTCAATCTATACCATAAACCCATGAAGTAGCTATAGGAATTTGAAATCTGTGGTTCACTGAGGGTACTCATAGCAACCAAAAACAAAACAAAACTAACATCTAACCCAACCCAACTCCTAATTAGATTACTTAACACCTTGCACTAAAGGCCCAGTAGAAGAAAAGCTGTGGCCATTTTCAGGAGTCAAGTCGTTTTTCTCAGCACACACAGGCATGATACTAATATTCAAACTGTCTGATGGAGAATTTAAAATAACTATGATTAAAATAGATTAATGATTCTAATGAAAAAGTTGCAAGATCAGATAGAAAATACCATAAAATGAAAACTAAAAAATTAAATGAAAATGCTACAAAAATTGTAAGAAAAATGTATTTGGAAAAATGCCACTGTCACAAACTTCAGAATAGACCCAAAATACCTAGGGAAATAATTAATGAATTTCAATATGAAATCATTAAAAATTATCCATACAGAAACGTAAAGAGAAAAAAGGAGAAAGAATAAAAACCATAAGACCACCAAAAGCTATGAATCAATGTTAAACATTGTAATATACGCATAATTGTGTCTCAAAAAAGGAGAAAAAATATTTCAATACCTAATGGATGAGGATTTTCCAAAATTATAATAAAGAGCCACCACAGATTCAAGAATCTCATAGAAAACCAAACTGGATAAGTAAGGGCACTCCACCAAAAATATCACCTAGACATATCATATTTAAACTTATACAAACAAAAGGTAAAGAAGAAAATCTTGAAGAAAGCTGTAGGGGGAAGGGGATCATTATATAAAGGAGAAAACTGTGAGAAATACTGAATTCTCTTTGAGACTATGTAAGTCAGAGGACAATAGAATGATATAAGTAAACTGGCAAACAGTTGGGGTTACCCTGACAACACATAACCCACAATTCTATTCCCATCAATATGAAAATAAATTGAAATGCTGAAGGAATTAAAGAAGGCATGCTGTGCAAAAAGAAAGCATAAAGGAGATGAAGTGACTACATTAATTTTATCACAATAAGTTTTAAAAATGTTACTAAAGACAACTTATCATCACAATTAAAGTATCTATTATTATCAAGAGATTAAAAACTGTGAATACATAAGCATGTTAAAACAGACCCCAGGAATATAGTAAGCAAACACAAAGAATTAAAAGAAGAAATAGACAAATTTTGAGTGACTTCAATATTCTACTCTCAATGATAGATACATTTACTAGGAAAAAAATCAGCAAATATATAGAAAACATGAACAACAAGAATAAATAAAAGACATATCACCAAATAGGGCATGCTAACCAACTTCTCACAACCCTCTGGGATGATGCCTGGTTTGCAACACCAAATAAGCCCCCAGAAGGTAAGGGGAATTAAGAATATACAGCAGAGGATGGAAATGATGATTGTTCTGTTGTGGTCCTGAGAATAGCTGCAGAAGCAAGGACTAGAACCTATTCCATTAACCTTAATCTTCTAAGTACCTCAGCAAGAGAGGTTCACCGCGACCCAAGCGGAACTACTCCCAGACCTCATTGAAGTTAGTGGACTATAATTGATATTATGATACATTGATTAGATGTCTTTTCATGCATGAACTCCCTGTGTTATCAACACACTAATTGTGAATTCTGCCCAAAGACATTTTTGCATTTAAGCCCTATTTGTGAATTGTTCCTCTGAAGAAAATTACCATGATCCACATTATTACTCCTTCCAATAGTAGCCTCACCCATGGCTTATCAAAGGAAGGGTAAAATGTCCTGGTTATGTCACTTCAACTTGAAACAATTCTGATGGGCCATATCTCCAGAGTACTCCCAAAGGGTGCCCTTTTGGTTGGGAGTGCATTACAACTCATCTTCGTCGTTTGCTCAGTTCTTTATTTCTGTTCCTTCCACAGATGATAATCCCAGGAGAACTCCACAACAAACATTCTTCAGGCTAATGTATGTCTCAGAATCTGTTTTCTAGCACCTGGGAACCCAACTGGCCATGGTAAAGTGGAGAATTAATTTTTCTTATTTTCAATGTAGAACAGTACACCATCTTTTCTTTTTAGTGGGAACATTCTTTTTCTTTTTGTTTTTTGACTCGTAATATTGTAACATACATTTCCTAGCCTTTATCAGGTGTCAGGTCTCAGCTAATGACTGAAAATGTTTCACAATTTTCTGTACATAAGCTTTTAACATAACCATTAACTTGAAAAACTACTTATATTTCTTAGGTCTTGTCTAAGAAAGAACTTTTTCTTTGTCACTGACATTGCGTCATATTGTTTTATCAAAATTTACTTACCACATTTTTTCCATTTGTTTTAAGCCGTAGTCACACGTAAAGTCTTTTGAAATTTTGTTTTTTTCATGTTTTTGAAATCTACTTTCTTAATATCTTGTGTTCAAATCTGACAACTCTTTACATTACTTTACTTGTCTATTATGAACACTAAAATGAAGCAGCTTTTTTTCTATACTCTTTCCACATCATAAATCCATTTTTTAAAAAAATTTTTGTCACATTAAAAAAAGAATAGCAATATCCATTTTCACTTTTACTTTCAAATGGGTAAAGTACTCCTATTTTTCCATCTGCCAGTGAATTATGTCTGACAATACAAAAATTAAATATATTACATATTTCTATAATATATTAAAAGTCATGAAATCGTTAAACAATTTATTTTTATTTTTATTATGAATAATTGGCCACAATTTATAATGCCTGCCATAAAAAAATTTACATACTGCTTTTTATTTTTTAAGTTCTCATATACCTATTTTTAATGAAACTGTAAATTTTTTTTTTATTATACTTTAAGTTTTAGGGTATGTGTGCACATTGTGCAGGTTAGTTACATATGTATACATGTGCCATGCTGGTGCACTGCACCCACTAACTCATCATCTAGCATTAGATATATCTCCCAATGCTATCCCTCCCCCCTCCCCCCACCCCACAACAGTCCCCAGAGTGTGATATTCCCCTTCCTGTGTCCATGTGATCTCATTGTTCAATTCCCACCTATGAGTGAGAATATGCGGTGTTTGGTTTTTTGTTCTTGCGATAGTTTACTGAGAATGATGATTTCCAATTTAATCCATGTCCCTACAAAGGACATGAACTCATCATTTTTTATGGCTGCATAGTATTCCATGGTGTATATGTGCCACATTTTCTTAATCCAGTCTATCATTTTTGGACATTTGGGTTGGTTCCAAGTCTTTGCTATTGTGAATAATGCTGCAATAAACATACGTGTGCATGTGTCTTTATAGCAGAATGATTTATAGTCCTTTGGGTATATACCCAGTAATGGGATGGCTGGGTCAAATGGTATTTCCAGTTCTAGATCCCTGAGGAATCGCCACACTGACTTCCACAATGGTTGAACTAGTTTACAGTCCCACCAACAGTGTAAAAGTGTTCCTATTTCTCCACATCCTCTCCAGCACCTGTTGTTTCCTGACTTTTTAGTGATTGCCATTCTAACTGGTGTGAGATGGTATCTCATTGTGGTTTTGATTTGCATTTCTTTGATAGCCAGTGATGGTGAGCATGTTTTCATGTGTTTTTTGGCTGCATAAATGTCTTCTTTTGAGAAGTGTCTGTTCATGTCCTTCGCCCACTTTTTGATGGGGTTGTTTGTTTTTTTCTTGTAAATTTGTTTGAGTTCATTGTAGATTCTGGATATTAGCCCTTTGTCAGATGAGTAGGTTGCGAAAATTTTCTCCCATTTTGTAGGTTGCCTGTTCACTCTGATGGTAGTTTCTTTTGCTGTGCAGAAGTCTTTTAAAAACATAACTAGTGAAGAGAGCAAATATATGGAAAATGTGATAAACATTTTGTTTAGTTTTCCATTTATCCATTCCTTTTTTTACCAATATTTATTAAGTGCCTACTATGTGTCAAGTGCTGTTAATAGGTAATTGGGATAGAAAAGTGATGCAAAGAACAAAAAAGAGAAAACTTCTGTTTCCATGGAATTTATAATCTGCTGAGGTGAGACAGACAATGAACATAATAAATAAGTGAATTATGCAGGGTGTGGATTGGCAAACCTTTCTGCAAAGACCAGATATTATATACTTCTTTAGGCTTTGCCAGCCACGGGATCTCTCATACTTTTACAAACTGGCACTGTGGTGACAAAGCAACCCCAGACAATAGCTAAATATATGGGTATGGCTATGTGTCAATAAAATTTTATTCGCAATAAGTGCTATAGAGAAATATTAAGCAGAATGAGGAAGATGGAAAGTACATGTGCCATTTTAAATAGGATGGTCAAGGAGTAGTCACTGTAAAGGTGATAGTTGTGCAAAGACAAAGAAGATAAGGGAGGAAAGTCACTTGGATATGAAAGGAAGAATGGTCCCAAGAGTAAGAATTAGGTCAAAGATTTCTATTAATTACTAAATTGTAATGTGACCTACAAGGGGTGATATTTTCTAAATTTGCACACTAATGATTGTCCTTTTCTTTTTGTCAAAGCTAGTGTCTGTTCTGTGTCTGTGCCATGCAAGTTATTAAATATTCAGACATCACCAAAGCTTACCACATAAAAAGCATATACCTCTATTTGGGAGGCTGAGGCAGGAGAATCACTTGAACTTGAGATGTGGAAGTTGCAGTGAGCCGAGAGTCTACCACTGCACTCCAGCCTGGGCAAAAGAGTGAGACTCTGTATCCAAAAAAAAATGTGTATAAATATAAAACATGAGTTTGGAAATTTGGGAATTATAAGTTTAGTAAATAATTCATTATTGTATAATTATGTCCCATTTACATATGGACTAATTCACATATATAAAATTGGCATGCTATTTACATGCTTCTAAATATTAAAAATATGAAATATTACATCATGAATAAATTATATTCCTATTGATAACAGAATTTTCTAAGAAAGTAAGCTAAGGTGATTACAAAAACTGTTTCATTCTATTTATATATTTATTTTATTTTCAACTTTTATTTTAGGTTCGGGGGTACACATGCAGGTTTCTTACATGCATAAATTGTGTGTCATGGGGGTTTGGTGCACAGAGTATTTCATCACTAACGTAATAAGCATAGTACTTGATGGGTAGATTTTTTATTTTTATCTTCCTCCCACCCTCAGCTCTCAAGTAGACCTTGGTGTCTGTTGTTCATTTCTTTGTGTCCGTGTGTACTTGATGTTCATCTCTCAAACACAAGTGAGAACATGCGGTATTTTCTTTTCTGCTCCTAAATTAATTCACTTAGCATAATGGCCTACAGCACTATCCATGTTGCTGCATGATTTCATTCTCTTTTATGGCTGTATAGAATTCCATGGTGTATATGTATCACATTTTCTTTATTCAGTTTACCTTTGATGGGCATTTAGGTATATTCCACATCTTTGATTGTGAGTAGTGCTGCAGTGAACACATGTGTGCATGTGTCTCTAAAGTAGGATGATTTGTGTTCCTTTAGGTATATACCCAATAATGGGATTGGTAGGTTGGAATGGTAGTTCTGTTTTAAGTTCTTTGAGAAATCTCCAAACTGCTTTCCACAGTGACTGAACTAATTTCTCTTCCCACTAGCAGTGTATAAATGTTTTCTTTTATCCATGACCTCACCAGAATCTCTTATTTTTTGACTTCTTAATGTTGGCTATTCTGATTGATTGGTGTGAGATAGTATCTCACAGTGGTTTTGATTTACATTTCTCTAATGATTAGAGATGTTGAGCATTTTTTCATATGCTTGTTGGTCATGTGTGTAACTTCTTTTGAAAAATGTCTGTTTATATCTTTTGCTCAATTTATAATGGGGTTGTTTGTTTTTTACTTGTTCATTTGTTAAAATCCTTATAAATTCTGGATATTAAGCCTTCGTTGGTTGCGTAGTTTGCAAATATTTTCTCCCATTCTGTAGGTTGTCTGTTTACTCTGTTGATAGTTTATTTTGCTGTGCAGAAACTTTAGTTTAATTAGGTCCCTTCTGCCAATTTTATTTTTGGTGTAATTGCATTTGACATCTTCGACATGAAGTCTTTGCCAGGGCTTATGTCTAGAATGGTGTTTTCTAGGTTTTCTTCAAGGTTTTCTATTGTTTTTGGTTTTACATTTAAGTCTTTAGTCTATCTTGAGTTGATTTTTGTATATGGTGAAAGGAAAGGGTCCGTTTTTAATCTTCTGCATATGACTAGTCATTTATTTTGCCATTAATTGAGTAGGGTTCCCTTTCTTCATGGCTTGTTTTTGTTGGCTTTGTCGAAGATCAGGTGATTGTAGGTGTGAGGCTTTATTTCTGGGTTCTGTAACCTGTTTCATTGGTTTGTGTGTCTACTTTTTAAGCAGTACTGTGGTGTTTTGTTTACTGTATCCTTGTAGTGTAGTTTGAAGTCAGATAGTATGATGCCTTCATCTTTGTAATTTTGCTTTGGATTATCATGGCTATTTGGGTTCTCTTTTGGTTCCATTGCAGCTTATAGCTTTCAGTGAATGCTAAGAATGAGTACTCAGACAATTCCAGCTGAGCGGGGTGAGGGGCAGCTCTTCTGAGAGAGTGCCCCCCAGAATCCATCCACCAAGTATTTATTGAAAGGGCTTGCTACTACAGACATCCACCAGATGGCATTTTGCCGTCGGGTCATGAGATACATATGGCCTTGTAAAAGCAGTTAAACTACATTCTTAGGAGACTGTTTTCAGCATTCCGTATCACACACTCAATTGCTTGTCCTGTTTTCAGGGTCAAGGAGTTACAGTCTCATGCACAAACAACATACACACAGTACCTCAGTGTTTTTCTATGCCCTGACCTCAAATGCCTTGTACAGAAGCTTGAATATATTGCTATGCAACCCCTTATATCCATATAAATTTTAGAATATATTTTCCTAATTCTGTGAAAAATGCCATTGGTAGTTTGATAAGAAGAGTGTTAAATCTGTACATTGGTTTGGACCATATAGCCATTTTAACAATATTGACTCTTCCTATCCATGAGTATGGAATATTTTTCCATTTGTTTGTGTTGTTTCTGATTTCTTAATTCAGGGTTTTTAAATTCTCATTCTAGAGGTTTTTCACCTCCCTTGTTAGCTGTATTCCTCGGTATTTTAATATTGTTGTGGCTATTGTGAACGGTATTTTGTTCTTGACTTGGCTTCCAGCTTGGATGTTTTTGGTGAATAGATATGCTAGTAAATTTTGCACATTGATTTTGTATCCTGAGGCATTGGTGAAATTGTTTATCAGCTCTAGAAGCTTTTAGGCAGAAACCCTGTTTTTTTTTTTAGGTATAAAATCATTATGTATGTGAAGAAAGATAGCTTGATTTCATCTCTTCCTATTTGGATGCCTTTTATTTCTTTCTCTTGCCTGATTGCTCTGGCTAGGACATCCGGTACTATGTTGAATAAAAGTAGTGAGAGTAATACTCTTCTTCCAGTTCGCAGAGGGAATGCTTCCAGTTTTTGCCCATTCAATATGATTTTGGCTGTGAACTTGTCAGAGATGGCTCTTGTCATATTATTTTGAAGTGTGTGTCTTCAATGCCTAGTTTATTGAGGATGTTTAATATAAAGGATGTTGAATTTTATCAGATGCTTTTTCTGCATCTATTGAGGCAATCATATGTTTTTTGCTTTTAGTTCTGTTTATGTGATGAACCATATTTATTGATTCATGTATGTTGAACCAACTTTACATCCCAGGGATAAACCCTACTTGATTATGGTGACTTCACTTTTTGATATGCTACTGTATTCAGTTTGCTGAATACAGTATTTTCTTGAGGATTTTTGTATCTATGTTCATCAGGGAAATTGGCCTGAAGTTTTAACTTTTTCTGCTGTGTTTCTGCCAGGATTTGATATCAGGATGAGTTAGGGAGGAATCCCTTCTCCTAAATTTTTTGGAATAGTTTCAGCAGGTTTGTTACTACCTCTTCCTTATACATCCGGTAAAATTCAGCTGTGAATCTGTCTGGTATAGGGCTTTTTCTGGTTGGCAGGCTTTTATTATTGATTCAATTTCAAAAGTCATTATTGGCCTGTTCTGCGTTTTAGTTTATTTTTAGTTCAATCTTGGGAGTTTGAATGTTTTCAGAAATTTATCCACTTCTTGTAGGTTTTCTAGTTTGTGTGCCTAGAGATGTTTGTAATAATGTCTTGTCTGAAGGTTTTTGTTTGTTTGTTTTTGTATTTCTGTGATGTCAGTGGTTATATCACCTTTATCATTTCTGATTGTGTTTATTTGTATTTTCTCCTTTTTTTATTAGTCTACCTACCAGTCCATCAATATTATTTATTCTTTCAAAGAACTAACTCTGGTTTCATTGATCCTTTGTATGGGTTTTCATGTCTC